>NC_000001.11:248777393-248946422 GCF_000001405.40 Homo sapiens | reverse complement strand
CCCTAACCCTAACCCTTAACCCTAACCCTAACCCTAACCCTAACCCTAACCCTAACCCTAACCCTAACCCTAACCCCCTAACACCCTAACCCTAACCCTAACCCTAACCCTAACCCTAACCCTAACCCTAACCCTAACCCTAACCCCCTAACACCCTAACACCCTAACACCCTAACCCTAACCCTAACCCTAACCCTAACCCTAACCCTAACCCTAACCCTAACCCCAACCCCAACCCCAACCCCAACCCCAACCCCAACCCCAACCCTAACCCCTAACCCTAACCCCTAACCCTAACCCTAACCCTAACCCTAACCCAACCCTAACCCTAACCCTAACCCTAACCCTAACCCTAACCCTAACCCCTAACCCTAACCCTAACCCTAACCCTAACCCTAACCCTACCCTAACCCTAACCCTAACCCTAACCCTAACCCTAACCCTAACCCTACCCTAACCCTAACCCTAACCCTAACCCTAACCCTAACCCCTAACCCTAACCCCTAACCCTAACCCTAACCCAACCCTAACCCTAACCCCTAACCCTAACCCTAACCCTAACCCTAACCCAACCCTAACCCTAACCCTAACCCTAACCCCTAACCCCTAACCCCTAACCCTAACCCTAACCCTAACCCCTAACCCCTAACCCTAACCCTAACCCTAACCCTACCCTAACCCTAACCCTAACCCTAACCCTAACCCTAACCCTAACCCTACCCCTACCCCTAACCGTAACCCCTGACCCCGACGTTGACCCCTGACGCTGACCGTGACCTTGACCCTGACCCCTAACCCCTAACCCCTAACCCCGAACCCGAACCCGAACCCGAACCCTAACCCGAACCCTAACCCGAACCCTCACCCTCACCCTCCATGAGTAATATGTCTGTTATATTTTGGGTGTCATGTGTGCATTAGGAATGCTGCATTTGAGTTGCGACGCTGCAGTTGAACCCTGCAATACAGCCCCTCGCCTTGCCTTGGGAGAATCTCGGTGCGCAGGATTCAGAGAGGCTTTTCGTTTCCCGCTTTCCACACTAAACCATTCTAACTGGTCTGTGACCTTGATTATTCAGGGCAGCAACCGGGAAAGATTTTATTCACCGTCGATGCAGCCCCGAGTTGTCCCAAAGCCATGCAGTACCCCCAACGTATGTGCTGAGAAGAATGCTGCTCCGCCTTTACGGTACCCCCCAGGTCTGTGCTGAACAGAACACAGCTCCGCCCTCGCAGTGCCCTCAGCCCGCCCGCCCAGGTCTGACCTGAGAAGAACTCTGCTCCGCCTTCGCAATACCCCCGAAGTCTGTGCAGAGGAGAACGCAGCTCCGCCCTGGCGATGCTCTCCGGGTGTGTGCTAAAGAGAACGCAACTCCGCCCTCGCAAAGGCGGCGCGCCGGCGCAGGCGCAGAGAGGCGCGGCGCGCCGGCGCAGGCGCAGAGAGGCGCGGCGCGCCGGCGCAGGCGCAGAGAGGCGCGCGCGGCGCTGTTGGGGAGACGCGGCGCAGGGCATAGACGCACGCCGGCGCCTCCCCGGAGGGGAGGGGTCGCTGGGCGGGCGGGAGTGAGGCGCGGCGCAGGCGCAGAGACGCACGTCGCTCGGCTGAGGGTGGCGGGGAGTGTTGCAGTCGCACAGTCGCGCGCCGCCGGGCGGGGAGCGCGGGGGTGGCGCGGTGCACGCGCAGAGACACACGTCCCCGGCGGCGCAGAGACGAGTGGAACCTGAGTAATCTGAAAAGCCCGTTTTGGGCGCCCCCTGCTTGCAGCCGGGCACTACAGGACCAGCTTGCCCACGGTGCTCTGCCATTGCGCCCCCTACTGGCGACTAGGACAACTGCAGGGCCCTCTTGTTTACAGTGGTGTCCACCGCCCCCTGCTAGCGCCGGGGCACGGCAGGGCTCTCTTGCTCGCAGTATAGTGGTGGCACGCCGCCTGCTGGCAGCTAGGGACATTGCAGAGCCCTCTTCCTCACATTGTAGTGGCAGCACACCCGCCTGCTGGCAGCTGGGCACAGTGCCGGGCCCTCTTGCTGGCATTGTCGTGGCTGCACGCCACATGCAGGCACATGGGGACTACGCAGGGCACTCTTGCTCCCGGTGTGACGGCTGCCGTCCCCTACTGGCCACCTCCTGCACCACTTAAAGTCAGAGCGCCAGTTATTAATCCCCATCAGTTCTGTAAATTAAAACTGAAAAGGAGCTATTACTGCGGAGAGCTGATGTCCCAGTTATTAACTTGGAAGACAGCTTTTCACCAAGAGGCAGTACAAAGATGGAAGATAACTTCATTGAAAAGAAATACAGAGTAAAGAGCTTATTGTACAAAAATAGGGAGGAGTAGGCTGATAGTGCATGAAAACAGCCTAAGAGTCCTGTGCAGGGATTTTTATTTTGGACTTCTTCACATTCCTGCCTCTGTCTCAAGTCTCCGCCTGTTTTCTTTCGTTTTCCTGCTACTGCCATAGGTCCCCGACTTGCCCCACTTAGCCTTGTGGGACCTCCTCACTGTTGATTGAGGTACATGTGTGGTGATCAATCCGAATCCACTCTGGCACCAGCCTCCTTCCCGCCATACCAGGCAGGCTGACAGCGGTCACGTTTGTATCTACTGCAGCTGCCTCTTTTGAATGTCTTTCTCTGCCCTAATCTGTACTTATGGTGCCAGGTTTCTCTTAAAAATGTCCCCTTTGTCCTTCTTATCAGCATGTAGCTAGCAATATTCTGACATTTTTATTGCAGAGTGAATGA
The DNA here is from genome assembly GCF_000001405.40 of Homo sapiens. Taxonomy (NCBI): domain Eukaryota; kingdom Metazoa; phylum Chordata; class Mammalia; order Primates; family Hominidae; genus Homo; species Homo sapiens. The sequence continues at coordinate 248,943,676 of NC_000001.11, read as the reverse complement.
TGATTGGGGCATCTTTTTTTTTTTTTTTTTTTTTTTTTTGAGACGGAGTCTCGCTCTGTCGCCCAGGCCGGACTGCGGACTGCAGTGGCGCAATCTCGGCTCAATGCAAGCTCCACTTCCCGGGTTCACGCCATTCTCCTGCCTCAGCCTCCCGAAGAGCTGGGACTACAGGCGCCTGCCACCGCGCCCGGCTAATTTTTTGTATTTTTAGTAGAGACGGGGTTTCACCTTGTTAGCCAGGATGGTCTCGATCTCCTGACCTCATGATCCACCCGCCTCGGCCTCCCAAAGTGCTGGGATTACAGGCGTGAGCCACCGCGCCCATCCGATTGGGGCACCTTAAGAGAAGTTCTAGGGTGTTTCTGCGTAGGTACCTCTTCTCCCTCCTAACCACAATTGACAAGTGCCCATCCACTCCAGCACTAGAGATGCTACTAATATGTGCATTTTTGGTGGTCCCTCCAGGTGAGCCTTCACAGACTTTCCCTTTTCCAGGAGCTCCCCCTCCTGTTCATGTCTAGCTAGCTATCTACTCTAACAGAGCCCACTATCCTGTGTCTTTCCCAAAAATAGTGAGGGAATGATTAATTGGAAACCATAAGAAATGATATGCATGTAGAGGAAAACTTTACAACTTACACAAATAATCACTCAAAATCATCCTTACACTAAAAATGCAAAACTATACAATTTCTAGAAGAAACTATAGAGGAAAAGCTGTGTGCCTTTGCGTTTGGTAATGAATTTTAACAAATGACACAGAAGGTTGATATACACAGAAGAAATGACAATGTGGATTTCTTAATATTTACAGTTTATACTCTGGAAGAGACCTTGTCAAGAGAACAAAAAGACAAGCCACATATTGAAGAAAATATTTGCAAAATACAGATCTGAGAATTTGTATTCAAAATATATAAAAAATTGTTAAAACTAAACAATAAGTTAAACAACCCAATTAAAAATGCACACAGATCTGAACAGACACTTCACCAAAGAAGATCTACAGATGGCAAGTACACTTACAAAAAGATGCTCAACATACTAGAGAACTGAAAACCACAAAAAGATAGCACAGCTGGTCTATATCTCTTAGAACTGCTAAGCTCTTTAACAAATGACAAATTGCTGGAGGAAAAACAAGAACTCTTTTCATTGCCAGTGGAACACAGTGTATAAGACCAAACTATGCCACCCCAAAATATAATGGTAGGAAACCAGAATATGCAACCCCAAAATATGTCCCTTTGGCTTAAGAATTATTCCAAGCTAATTATTTTGAAAAAAAAAATGCTAACAAAGGAAGTTGTGAAAATAGAGTAGAAGTTACTTGTGTAAGGAAAATTTACATCTATAAAGGAAATCACCATTTAAAAGCTACCTCTCTCGACACCAAGAAGAGAAGGATAACTAAATCACTGAAGAGTCTTATCAATGGAGAATGCATGGACTTAAGTCTGTATAACGAACCTTACCCTTGTCTAATGTGCTTTTGCTGGTTAACTCCCCACTACTGCACCTCAAATCTTCTTTCTTTAAGTTGAAGATAGTATTTATGCTTGAATTGAAAGCCACCTGTTGGAGATTTACTCATTTTTCCCTGAGTATCTCCCATGTAACCATAAGATATACATGTTTTTAAACTTTTCTCTTTTTCTCATTTTAATCTGTCAGTTTTTACAGAGCGTTCCATCTAAGAATTCCAAAAACAGAAAATTATTTTTCCTCCCCTATTACAAGTTGGGCATTTTTTTCCAAAGCTAAACAAGTCTCACCTTACAATCCAAAAATAACATTCCTAGGTATTTTGACAACTACTTTGATGTTATTTCCCATCAAAAGCTACCATGCAGTTATTTACAGAAGCCCTATTCATAATGACCAAAGGAAAAAAAATGAATCAGAAAGTCTTACAATAGATGACTGTGTGGGAATCCACTCAGACATCAAAAGTTGTTATAAAGATTATTTAAATGAAAACATTTGAGATACTGAAGATGAAGAAATCTTACCAGAACTTACTTTATCCAATTAAAGCACAGCTCCCAGAAAAATACAGCTGCCATTAACCCCATCCAAGGAGTTTCTTGCAAATTCAGCTGCCATGAAGACAGCGTACTCTTTCCCATTAGCATTGATAAATGAAAATTAAATTCTAAGCTCCCAACTGACTGAACAGACCCACTCTTGGCTGAGGGGACCCCAGAGTAACTTTCAAAACTGAGTTCTCAGCTTTGCTAGGATGGGATGATGGGGTTAAGATACACATCGTTATACCCCCTCCTTTGCTAACCATGATGAGGCTTTCTTCCCTAAGGATTTAACAGAAACCAGCCCTTTCAAAGCCTCCACCACTGATATCAACCTCTCCTTTCTTGCCTGATAAGAGACCACCCACGATGGAGAGGTTCTGGCCAGCGTACAGAGGATGCACAGAGCAAGTTTTCATGTCCTCTGCTTCACCTTTTAATGTCAGAGGGCTGAAAACTCCACCCTGGGATCATGCTAACACTGCCATTTTTTGTACATGGGACCCATGAAGAAGCAAGAAACTCAATTGTGCGTGCATGCATTTCTCCTTCCATAAATATTCATGACTCCTCCTAGAGCTTATTAAATAAATCTATTTGGCCATTCCACTCAGCATAAGTTGCTATTTCCTTTACCTCCTCCTTGAAGCATCTGTTTCTGGCTTCTGGCTGGAGGCTATGCTTCCCAGCCTGTCAGAAGGACAACCCTGCAGGCTACAACCCTTTATAGAAAATAAATCTCTCACTGGGTGGGTGGCTCATGCCTGTAATCCCAGCACTTTGGGAGGCCGAGGTGGGTGGATCACCTGAGGTCAGGAGTTTCAGACCAGCCTGGCCAACATGATGAAACCCTGTCTCTACCAAAACTGCAAAAAATTAGCCAGGTGTGGTGGTGGGCATCTGTAATCCCAGCTAATCAGGAGGCTGAGGCAGGAGAATCGCTTGAACCCAGGAGGCGGAGGTTGCAGTGAACCAAGATCATGCCATTGCACTCCAGCCTGGGCAACAAGAGTGAAACTCTGTCTCAAAAAAAAATAAAAATAAGCATAAAAATGAAGAAATGTCTCCTTTCCAAATTTATGAACCTCATCATTCTTCCGTTCACAGCATTAAAAGGTTCAAAAAGACCTTTCCATACTCTCCCACAGAAGCCCTAGAAATTGTCATTTTGTTAATCATTCTGGATGCCTGAGAACTTGTAATCCAATGAGTAGAAAGTTTGGTACCCCATTTATGGCTGTCAACCTGCCAGTTCTCAGGAGTTTGTATAAAAGCCTAAATCCGAAAGGATCTCATCCCATTAGGACCCTTGTCTCCTTTTCTGTTGCCTTTGCCCACTGGCTCTGGCAACAGGGGTCTTTCTTTCTCCTTGGCTATCTTTGGATATGGGGGCTCCGTCTTCTGTGCCACCTTAGGGAATGCCTTTTGCAGGCATGGCTAAGTCATTAAAAAGCCTACAGTTTCAGTAACATTTTGAGTGAGCACTCTCTGAAGCTGCGTTGGAATCTCAGGCTTCTTTGTCTGGAAGATAACTCTTGGGCTACAAGTTTCTTATCCTAGCTTTGGTTTTGAGGCCTCTCTGTTCTCCTCTTGGGTTGGAAGTTATTCCTGGCTTTTTGTTTCAAGGTGTCTGTGATCTTGATCTTGCTGCTTTCATGGGAACTTCTCACTTCACTAAATTCTCCCTTCTCAAACCTCTGCTGACTATGTGTTCCACCAATATGGAACTAATTCTACTTCTTTTCCTGTTTGCATGACTTTACTAAGAATTATTTACAACTTTAATGGCTCCTTTGAGAAAATTTTTATCTTCCAAATTGCCTCCTTTTAGACCTTTCCTTTCCCAGTTGAGTCTCTCAACTCCCTATAATCACTGAAACTTCAGGCACCCCACTCCATGCCTTGGAGGCTCTCAGTGTGCTCAAGAATCTGCAAAAGCAAACACCTGGGGCTGAAGAATAAAATAGAAAAAAAATTATTTCTCAGCCTCCATAAGATTCTATGTCAAAAAAAAAGAAAATCTTTAAAATCTCCAAAAATATTGGTGAGAAAAAAGCCTTAGCCCTCATATGAAGAAGAAAAAACTTGTTCCATTTTCCAGATACATAGTTATAATACAAATATAAAATGGGGCAAAGACAAAAACCAAGTCTTCTATATAAACTAGTGAATTGTGTAGTTATTGTAATCACATTAGTCAGGGGTCTCCAGAAAGGCAGAATCAATAGGATATATGTAGACAGATGAGAGAAGATTCATTAGGGGAACTGGTTCACATAACTATGGAGGCTGAGAAGTTCCACAATAGCCTGTCTCCAAGTTGGAGAACCAGGAAAGCTGGTAGCATGGCTCACTCCAGATACAAAGGACTCAGAATCGGGGAAGCCAATGGTGTAACTCTGATTGTGAGGCCAAAGGTCTGAGACCCTGAAGTTCTGATGTCAAGGGCAGGAGAAGAAGGATGTTTCCATTTCAGAAGGAGATAATTCACCTTTCCTCTTCCTTGTTATTCTATCTGGGCTCTCAACCAATTGGATGCTGCCTGTATTCATCCATTTTTATACAGCTATGAAGAAATACCTGAGTCTGAGCAATTTATAAAGAACAAAGGGGTTTAATGGGCTGACAGTTCCACATGGCTGCGGGGGCCTCACAATCATGGCAGAAGGGGAAGCAAAGCTATCCCTCTTCACATGGCAGCAACAAGAAGTGCTGAGCCAAAGGGGAAAAGCCCCTTATAAAACCATCAGATCATGAGAACTCACTCACTGTCATGAGAACAGCATGGCGGTAACCACCACCATGATTCAGTCACCTCCCACTGGGTCCCTCCCACGACATGTAGGTATTACAGGAACTACAATTCAAGATGAGATCTGGGTGGGGACACAGCCAAACCATATCAGTGCCCATCCACATTGGGTCATGGTTATCTCAGTGTCTTCCAGAAACACCCTCATAGATATGCCCAGAAATCGTGTTTGACCAGCTGTGTGTGTCTCTCAATCCAGTCAAGTAGACGTCTACGATTAACCATCAGAATATTTATGCCTGATTCATGGCTGAAATCGTGTTTGACCAGCTATGTATGTCTCTTAATCCAGTCAAGTAGATGTCTAAAATTAACCATCAGAATATTTATGCCTGATTCATGGCTGAAATCGTGTTTGACCAGCTATGTGTGTCTCTTAATCCACTCAAGTAGATGTCTAAAATTAACCATCAGAATATTTATGCCTGATTCATGGCTGAAATCGTGTTTGACCAGCTATGCGTGTCTCTTAATCCACTCAAGTAGATGTCTACAATTAACCATCAGAATATTTATGCCTGATTCATGGCTGAAATCGTGTTTGACCAGCTATGTATGTCTCTTAATCCACTCAAGTAGATGTCTAAAATTAACCATCAGAATATTTATGCCTGATTCATGGCTGAAATCGTGTTTGACCAGCTATGTGTGTCTCTTAATCCACTCAAGTAGATGTCTAAAATTAACCATCAGAATATTTATGCCTGATTCATGGCTGAAATCATGTTTGACCAGCTATGTGTGTCTCTTAATCCAGTCAAGTAGATGTCTAAAATTAACCATCAGAATATTTATGCCTGATTCATGGCTGAAATCGTGTTTGACCAGCTATGTGTGTCTCTTAATCCACTCAAGTAGATGTCTAAAATTAACCATCAGAATATTTATGCCTGATTCATGGCTGAAATCATGTTTGACCAGCTATGTGTGTCTCTTAATCCAGTCAAGTAGATGTCTAAAATTAACCATCAGAATATTTATGCCTGATTCATGGCTGAAATCGTGTTTGACCAGCTATGTGTGTCTCTTACTCCACTCAAGTAGATGTCTAAAATTAACCATCAGAATATTTATGCCTGATTCATGGCTGAAATCATGTTTGACCAGCTATGTGTGTCTCTTAATCCAGTCAAGTAGATGTCTAAAATTAACCATCAGAATATTTATGCCTGATTCATGGCTGAAATCGTGTTTGACCAGCTATGTGTGTCTCTCAATCCGATCAAGTAGATGTCTGAAATTAACCATCAGAATATTTATGCCTGATTCATGGCTGAAATTTCAGGATGACAGCTATGAAATCTCTATTTGTGTTTGTATATCTATTAATGTATGTTATGTATATGTGATATTTTCTGAACTCCAGAGAGCATTGCAAAATTCATTTATGAAATCCTCTAAAAGTGCTCTATTCTAACTTGGCTTGGAAAAAAATAAGCATTTATAAATAAATATTCACCAAACTCCTAGAAATATAGGAACTGATCAAATGTTTCTTAAGTTAACATGATTTGGATAAAACTTAGTTAAATAAGATTAATATAGTATTTTTGGTGTAATAAAACAACTATATCTTCAAAACTATCATTATTGAATATAAAACAAGCATAAATTCCTATTCTGCTTGAGTTCTAGTCAAATAAGCTAATATTATACTTACTAGAAACGTAAAATCTTAAAGCTTATAGATTTGATTCTAATTAAGTTGTCATTCTTATGAAAAACATTATTTTTTTATGCTGAAAAGATACACATATATTTAGAGTTAGCCAGCTGGACTCAGTTTAGGTGATCCCAATTTTGTTACAACATCGAAAGCATCATAATCAGGAGCAAGTCGAACATATGCCTTGTTCTCTTTATCAGGACAAATCAGGGTGGTGACCTTGGCCACATCACTGTCATAGAGCTTCTTCACAGCCTGTCTGATCTGGTGCTTGTTGGCTTTAACATCCACAGTGAACACAAGCGTGTTGTTTTCTTCTATCTTCTTCACGGCCGACTCAGTGGTCAGCGGAAACTTGATGATAGCATAGTGGCCAAGCTTGTTTCTCCTGGGGGTGCTCTTCCGAGGATATCTGGGCTGCCTCCGGAGTCGCAGTGTCTTGGGCCGCCTGAAGGTGGGTGACATGCGGATCTTCTTTTTTGCGTGTGGCTGCGGACACCTTTCAACACTGCCTTCTTGGCCTTTAAAGCCTTCGCTTTGGCTTCGGCTTTAGGAGGAGCAGGAGCTTCCTTCGCTTTCGGTGCCATCTTGTGAAAAGCGAAAAACATTATTTCAAAAATAATTTGTTTACAGTAAATCTGCCTATGAATAGTTTCCAAAGTACTTTTGGTAATTTTTAACCTTAAAGTTAAGCTAAGTAAAAGATTTGCATTAAATATCTAGACCATTTATAAATAAGATACAATACTAAAACATTAATTACTGAACATAAATAATTCAAGTTTATATACTTTTGGCTCCTATTTTTACAGAGAGACTAAAGATATTTTGGCCCGTTAATAAACATGTTTTTTTCTGCCACACTGAGGAATTGTATTATGAGGAAACACATCCCTCTAGATGTTGGGAGATGGTATATTCATACATTTTCTAACCTACTATAGAATGCTAATATATGACAGTTTATAACTGTCTACTTCCTAGTTTTCTCTGGAAAATAAAAGATTACTAAGTATTAAAATTATAATCAATATATGTAAATAAAACTATTAGAAATAATAGAATAACTAGAAACAACTCTATGCAAAGCATGCAAGAAAAGTAGGGCATGTTTCGCAAGTAAAGTAGGTTGCATTTTTTATAAGGAAAACCATACAGAAGATACAAATAAAAAGAGATACCTAACCTTCCCTGTGTTATATTTGTATGGGTAAAATGTTATGTTTTCAGAAATTATATAAAATTCCTGGAAGTTTGTCAATGTCCTCCTTATCCATGCTATGTGTCACTATAGAGTAATGAGTCATAATTCCAATTATTACTTTAAATGTTGTGCCAGGCACAGTGGCTCATGCCTATAATCCCAGCACTTTAGGAGGCTGAGGCGGGTGGATCACAAGGTCAGGAGATCCAGACCATCCTGGCTAACCCGGTGAATCTCCATCTCTATTAAAAATATAAAAAATTAGCCGGGCGTGATGGCGGGCACCTGTAGTCCCAGCTACTCGGGAGGCTGAGGCAGGAGAATGGCGTGAACCCAGGAGACAGAGCTTGCAGTGAGCCGAGATTGCACCGCTGCACTCCAGCCTGGGCGACAGAGCAAGACGCTGTCTCTAAATAAATAAATAAATAAATGTTGTCTGCCACAGAAAAAATCGAATATCCTTGTCAGTTGTGGTATAATGAACTCTCATCAAATCTTTCATCACAGCCATTTCATACTTTTTGTCATTTAGATATTATTTCCCCCGATGCTTTCCTGAAAGCTCCTGCAATCAACTACAGGTCAGAATGTTCGTCTCCAAGACAGGACTCCCTCTGAGACTCACAGAAAAGACTATGACAGGCACTCTGGTTATAGGCTTCTGATGATATTGCTTAAATAACTTTAAGACCATACACTTGACTCAGTTAAGGTCTCCAGAAGTCCGGTTGGGAAACTGATGGGTTCATGACACTGCTAACTCAAGATCCACAAGACTGGAATTGATTACATGGCACTGAATGAACTGATGAAAATTGATTATAATTGTATAGCTTTTTGGAGCATTGCTGGTTAATATTCTAGTTTCTGGATTTAAGAAATCTCTTTCTCTTACTCTAACTGTAACTTACAACAATTTAGTAGATTATACTTTTGTAAACAGAAATGAAGCGTTTATCTTTTTTTCTTGCCTGATTTTTCCAGAATTTTGAAATCCTTACTGAATACTCTTATTTCCACGATGATATTGTTGTTAGCAAAAGTCCAATAAGAATCTATTCACCTTATAACAGGACATAATTGGAAATTTTGGTTAGATTATCAAGGTTTTTACTGGAATATCATATTTAGGAAGTGTACCTAAGATCAGTTATGACCAGCAATTTTAAGGAAGTAAGGTTGACTTTTATGGAGACAATGCTTACAAAGCACTGTGGAAAACTTTGAGGAAAGTTCTTCCTCAAAGATTATAAAGTCACAACTACCCACTATTTTTATATGTGTGTGTGTGTGTGTGTGTGTGTGTGTGTGTGTGTGTGTTCCAAATCACTTGTCCTAGCTTGCTCCAGCATGCCTGGACAGAACTAGACAAGCCCCAGCCCATAGTGCATGCCATTCCTTATTTGGAGATGCTTCCTTAACTATCCCTGGGCAACTTCCTTTTCTTTCTTTCTTCTATTCCCCTTACCTAATTAAGAAAGTTTTAAACTAACAGCCAATCGGGTAAAGTGTAAAATGGGAGGTCCTATTCCAGCCAATGGAAACTGGACACAGCAGTAGGGTAGACACGTCAGGTTATAAGTAACTCTGTCTCCTTTGTTTGGTGTGCTCTTGTAGCTGGACAGCTATTGAGTAGCACCCTTTGTGCAGAAAAATAGAGCTCGCCTTGCTAAGAGATCATTTGTTCCCATGTTAGTTCTTTTTTTTTGGGGGGGGGAACATAAAAAACTTCATTCCCAACAGCACTCTGAGAACAGCACAATGATACTTGGGGAACAAGAAGCCAAGTATTGTCTCTCCTACTAATGTATCTATTGTCAGTTAATTTGAAGGTCTCCAACCCTGGAACAAAGTTAGAAGAGGAAGGTTCTCCTCCCCAAAATGCATAACCAAATTGTGCTACATTCATGTAATGGAATACTATTTAGCCATAGAAAGGAACAAGATATCAACACACACAAAGACATGAGTGAATCTTGCATGCACATTGCTAAGTGGAAGAAGACAGTCTGAGGAGGATACACACAGTGTGACCTCATTTAATGAGACACTGGAGAAGGCAAACTACACAGATGGGAAGCCATTGGCTCCATGGGGTGGGGGTTTGAGCATTCCATATGATACTTTAATAGTGGGATATCTGCCACAATGCATCTGTCGAAATATGCAGAATTTTACAGCCAAATGGTTAAAGCAAACTCTATTCAAATTAAATCAAATTACTCAGGATGTGGAGTATCCCAGGACAGAATACATCATGTGAAAAAGAATTTATGCTACAAATTACTATGGTTTGGATGTGGTTTGTCCCCACAAAAACTCATGTTGAAATTTGACTCCCACTGTGTCAGTGTGGGGCGGTGGGGCCTAGTGGACGGTGTTTGGGTCGTGGGGACGGATCCCTCATGAATAGATTAATGTCCTCCATGGGGGTGAGTGAGTTCTGTTCTCACAGGAATAGATAATTCCTGCAGGAGTAGGTAATTAAAAAGAGTCTGGCTTCCTTGGCTTCCCTCTTGCTTTCACTTCTGCTGTGTGATCGCTGGTGCACCCCTTGCTCCCCTTCCACTTTCCACCATGAGGTGAAAAAGACTGAGGCCCCGCCAGATGCAACTGCCCAATCTCAGACATTCCAGCCACCAGTATTGTGAACCAAATGAAACTTTTTTACTTATAAATTACGCAGCCTCAGGTATTCTGTTACAGAAGCACAAAATGGACTAAGACACAAATCTAGGTAAAAACTTTGAAAATGAATAGAATCTGTAGGCTGAAGGCACATGAACTATACTTCATTATTGGATTCCATTTTATAAAGTTCTTTCCAACAGAAGCAATTGTGAACAATTGTAAAACCACAGTGTCTGTATCTGGAATAAAACAATGACTTACATAAGTCGCAGATGGTGGGAACCAGGTTTCTTACTGTTGAAGTGGGAGGTTACAAATTAGCAAGGCGAGAAGGCTAGAATGATTCATGTGATAGTAGATCAGAGGTGGAGACATCAACGTAAACTTATGTTTAGTTTAATATAGACACACACAGTTCTACATAGAAAACTTTATAATTAGGTGTGTATAGGTAGGTTAGACACACACATATACTTCCTAGCATTGCCAATGAGGGAGAAGATACAATGTGCTCATTCAGCAGCCAGATGTAAGTTTTCCTACCATTCTGAAAGGAATCAGGCTCTTTGAAGAAATGTCTGATACTAGAACTGGGACAGTAAATATAGGAGCCAGGATAATCTGGAAGTATCAGAAAGTAAGTACTAAAAAAGTTAAAACATATCAAAGAAAAATAAGAGCCAATAAAAACAGCTACTGATGGCCAACACAGGAATGAATTGTGCAACATAATACTGTAGTGTTGAATAATAACTAAACCTTAAAGTAATTATCTAGGTGTCTGTATTTGTATACCTAGGTGAATAAGCAAATGGAGTTGCATAGAAATCTCCTTTGCAAAAGAATTCCAAATAATTGATGTAGACACTCAGCCGTCAAGAAGGTGGAGCCAACTCCTTACGGAGTGAGGCTCTGCATAGTGACTTGCTCCAAAAGAACACATGCAGTACGGACAAGGAGGAAAAATAACTTCACAGTGGAGAAATCTGACAAACAGTAGCTCTGCCAAATGATCCAAGTGAACATCAAAGGTGACAGTTCACCTTGAGAACACGAAGTGACAATGGGGGACATTCTACAACATTCCTGACCAATCCTCCTCAGTGCTATGAAGGTCATCATGAGATGGAAAGCCTGACACACTGTCACAGCCAGGAAGAGCCCACGTGATGTCTACATGTCATGCGGTATCCTGGATGGGATCCTGGGTCAGAGTAAGATAGAACTAAGGGAATCCAAATGAAATATGAACTTCAGTTAATAATAGTCTATCAGTATTGGTTCATTAACTGTGACAAATTATGTAAGATATTAATAAGCCATGTGAGACACACTGATAGAAGATGTTAATAAGAGAGGAAACTAGGTTGCGGCTACATGGGAAATCTCTGCTTTTTTTTGACAATTTCTGTGTAAGTAAAAAAGATGATGTAAAATAAAACTTTATTTAAAACACTGTTTTTTTTGAACACTTCCTTGTTTAATTATTTATACCATGAATTACTAGTAATTGACACTGTTAACTAGTCCTGTTTTTTTAAATAAGAGTATTTATGACACAAAAAATTAAACAGTGCAGACTGATACATAAATCAAATGTTCTTTACATGTTTTCTGTTGCAGTAGTAACACATATGTGTAAACTTAATTATCACGTTTTTCTTGTGCTGTGGTTGTGTCCTGAGTTCATTCTCTAAAATGCTGTTCACCTTAGACCAGGAAAAATATTAACCATACAGACTCTGTTTTAATTCATAGCTAAATATTTTCAAAAGAGTGACTTTGTAAAAATATGTTCCAATGGCAAATTGATTCATTGTGATGGGATCACTTATTCCAAAGACTTCCTGTCTTTATTTTGTTGCCATGCCTACCTTTTAGCCATGATACAACAGAATCAAATATTGGCCACTGGGAAAAAATATTCAAAGCAAGAAAGAATGTGAACAGAACTTATGACCATGATGATTCAATGTTTTACCACAATGCTTTCTAAAACAGAAGAGTGTAAAAGGATATTCAAAGTCAATTTCCTCAGCGAGGCTTTGCAGAAAATGAGGAAACTACAGAAACAAAAATGGCAGGACATTCTACGGGTGATTTTAAATGTTGCTATGTTTTATGGGAAAAAAATACTTTACCTTTTAAAGAATCACAAAGAATTATTGGAAACCCAAACTCTGGAATGTTTGCAAATTTAGTTGAGCTTCTACGTAATTATGTCTATATAGGTAGCCAGGAAGTTGATGATTTTTTAAAAATCTGTGCCTTATTTGTGTGATAAAATACACAATGAATAATTAATGCTCATAGGAAAACCTTATGAAGGGAAAATAAATCTTGGGGAATGAAAATCACTAAGCTAAAGGGAAAAGTCAAGCTGGGAACTGCTTAGGGCAAACCGGCCTCCCATTGTATCCAAAGTCACCCATCTGCTCACCGAGATAAATGCATACCTGATTGCCTCATTTGGAGAGGGTAATCAGCAACGCGAAAGAATGAAACCATTTGTCTCTTACCTACCTATGACCTGGAAGCCCCCTGTCTGGCCTTCTCACCTTTCTGGACTGAACCAATGTACATCTTACACATATTGATTGATCTCTCGTGTCTCCCTAAAGTGTATAAAACCAAGCTGTGCCCCGACCACCTTGGGCCCATGTTGTCAGGACCTCCTGAGGAGGCATCACGGGCGCACATCCTCAAGATTGGCAAAATAAACTTTCTAAAAAATCTGAGAGCTGTCTCAGATTTTCAGGGCTCACACATGTAATGTAGGATGCCAGTGTTTATAAAACAGACATTATTCTATCTACTATTACAAATATGCTGCCAATTAACCTCAGACTTTCTCAACAAAATAAAAAATGTTGATGAGGTACAAATAATATATTTAAACTTAAATAATGTTGCAAGTTTAAATACGCCTACTTTTCAATTTTTCAATACTATTTTTACTACTTTAACACTGTAAGAAAAGTGAGTAATTAAAACATGAATAAAAGTGTTTACAGGGGGTGCACATATTTCCTCCAGCCTCTGCCCATCCCCAGCTTTCATCCCAACTGTCCTGATGGTGGCTCTAAGCACTTCCCCTTTCTCTATACCAAGATCTCTCCCCAGAAACAAACCCAAATCTTACCATGTTATGGCACGCTATGATGCTGAGCAGCGATGAGCAGCCGAAGCCTCAAGGAAGGGATGCTTTTATAAAACAAGACCTGTAGAATGTAACATGTGAAAGTAAAGCCCATGGCAGAGCTCCCTCCTCAGCACACAGGGAGCAGACAGGAAGCTTTTGCCTCACCTTCCTCAATGGCCTGCAGCCACATCTCCCAGGTCAGTCTTAAGGACAACGAAACTCTGGTCTTCACTCTGGACACTCTGAGCACTACCAGGTGCTCCAAAGCCTAATTTCCCAATTTTTCATCCTAGAATGGACAGAGTCCTTGACCCCATTCTAGGGAGACTTCCAAAAGAAAAAAGACGTGCATTTCTTCAACAACCCACACTGAGAGAGTTTCCTGCACTTTTGACCTGTGGCTAACACTCCTCACCTTTCATTCTGTCATCAGTGTTTTGGGGAAACACCTTTAACTCGCTATGATTTGCAGGTTATTAAGTGGTCCTTATAATTCCCTCCACAGGTGGAAAAGACTAATGATGATGGTGTCTGAGCTCACAGCAGCAAGCAGGCGTGTGTGCTCAGCAGCCACGTGGCTCATCTGCTAGGAGCTTGCTAAATACGATGTTCTACAACATTGCCTAACACAAGGGGAGACGCTCCTGACTCGGAGGGTTTAATTGCTCACCTACTTCTTTTTCTGCCCTCTTGGGCTCCTAAAATGAAAAGAACCCTGGGGTGATAAAGTGAGTCAAAGGGGTGCCAGCCTCATCACAGCAAAATAGATTACTAAAAAGTCCCTGGCCTGAGATGACAGCCTTGGCTGGATACGTTTGAATGTGCTGATAGTGGACACGGTAGAATGAAGGTGGTGGAAATGTTCATATTAAAGAACTTCCACCCGGATTGCAAGAAAAGAGAGACGAATGGAGATGGCAGAACGATTCCCTACAATAAAAGCAGATGTTTTGAGATCAGTTATATTTGTTCTGAAAAAAAACAGACAGAAACCAAAGTTTAGCCTGAGGCTACAATTAATTGGGCAATAAGCCAGAGGCACATATAGCATAGACAGATTTAAACATTTCTCCCTTATATTAATACAAATACTAAGATTACAAATAAATGAATTCCAAATAAAACAAATACTTAAAAAATTTAATGAATAAACACTGGAATCTACAGTAGCATTTGAAGGAGATCTCACAAACAGGTTTGGTTTTTGAAGGTTAGAACTGATGGTCTAGAGAATTCATTTCATTCCAGAGACAGAAAGAGATGAATTTCTTAGGTTCCTTCAGGAATGCGTCTGGCTTTGCCTCATCTTTGTATATTTGAACTATGCATATGGCAGAAGAAAACATGAGGATTTCACAGATTTAAGGTGCGAAAAGTCACTGGGTTCTCTAAGAAGTCTGGGATTCTTCTGCAGGAAAAATAAGTTTGTTGAGAAAAAATGAGTTGGAGGAGGCTGTTATTGAAGTGAAGCAGAATTGTTTTTACCAATCTGCTTATTACCCACTCTGTAGTGTGGAAACAAATTATTCATGCACAAGGTCCTCTTACTGTTCCTGGAATGCAGTGGAAAGAGAACAGATTAGTTTTTCTCCCTCAGAACACAACCACTAGAAACATCCTACCTCAGATGAGATATTGCCTACTTATTTTCAAAAGACAGTGAAAAATGATGGATGTAAATGTTTGCTACAAAATAAATACATGCTAGAAACAGAAGCATTTGGGTCACAGCTATATTAGAGCTACCTGTGTTCCCTTGTCACTGAGATTAAAACAAAAATGTCCAATACAATCATTCACAGCATGGGAGAGGGGAAGTTGAAGGATGGAAAGGCCAGTCATAAAAGGATTTCAGAATTTCAGTCCATAAGGAAGTGGCTTTGTGCATTGTCTGTTGCTGTGTGCAAGATAAGTCTGGAGAAAGAAAATATGCAGTAACAAGGGCTCCTTTGTCCATCTCACCTCTCTAGATACCAAGTTTCAGACATGTTGCATTTTAATTGAAAGGTTGATATAATTTTTTAAAAAAGAAAACTTGTGGTGTTTGAAGTGACAAAGGCTGCTGGGACAAAAAAGCAGGGAAAGGGAATTTTTTTAAAAAAAGCAAACAACAACAAAAACCCACAAAAAACAAACAAAAAACAGAGGAAGAAGTCGAAACACCCTGGGTTGTGACTACTTCCAGGAAGGGGCTACAAGAGGCAGTTGGAAATTCTATTTGCTTTGCAACTGTGAGTTTCCCAGCCTGCTCCCTTTTTACAGTATATTACTTTGGTTTTGGTTCATGAAGTTATCCCTTTCTGTTTTCTGGAACAGCTATGTATTTTCTTTATCTATCATCTATCTATCTACCTGCCTATCATCTATCTATTTACTAGTATTTTTTCTACCTTTCTCTATCAAGACCTTGGGTGAAGCAGGATAGAATTCCAGTGTATGTTCACTCTACCATTTAAAACAAGAGCTCTTGTAGGCATTCTCTAACACATCATAAACCTGAGCTTTCTAAAACAGGGTGTGGTAAACTACCATGCATGGGCCATGTCTGACACAGTCTGCGTTTGTAAGTAAAGTTGTAATGTGACACAGCCACATACATGTGTTATATAATGTCTCTGGCTACTTTCATGGTATAATGGAAGAGCTGAGTCATTGAGAGAGGGACCACATGGCTTGGAAAACTTAAAATATTTAACATTTAGCCCTTTGCAGAAAATATTTGCTGACTCTTGTTTTAAAAGATCTCTGTTTAGAATGCTACCTATTGCCTTCTGCATAGAATCACAACTCTACCACAATCGACACAGCTTCAGCCCTGCTTCTATATCCAGCATCATCTATTATTTCTGCTCCTCCTCCTTATTTTCCTTCTGGCCATGCTGATGGATTGTCAGCTTCCCAGATGTGCGAGAATCTCTCCTCCCTTCCCGACATTCTCATGCTCTCCCTCTGCCTCTCAAGAACTCCCTGTCCCATCTCTCATGACAAATCTCTTCTTCATTCTTTAAGATGCAGCCCCTTTGCTCCTTCCTTAAGGATGTCTGTCTGGCTCTATTTTGGGCGACATACTCCTTCTGCATCTCCCAGAGCCAGCCTTTGTGTGTCAGCTACAGCATTTCTTTGCATCTCTGTGCCATATATCACCAAATCTGCCTAAGCTTGCATGAGTCACTGCATGACAACTTCAGACTCCACTATCATTGTCTCCACTAACCACGAGGCTGAGACATTTGTCCAGTATGCTCGGGGTTGTGGGGTGGTAGCAGTAACCAGCTGGTGAGCATCATCTCTTATATCAGAATCAAATCTGTAGATCTCTGCCATTCATAGGTATTTGGAGTTTAAAATTAGCATAAAGATTTTCCTTAAAATAAGAACATATGGCTTGAGTAGGCTTTTGGAACATAGGATATTTCTGCTGGTTCATTTCAGTGTTCAGTATTCCCACATGAATCTAAACACGACTCTGCTCTTAGTAGCTGTGCGACCCTGGGAAAGTCACTCCATCTTCCTCAGCTAAATTTTGTTGTGTGAGTAATGAGAAGAGAGTTGTGGTTTGTGTTTAGTGAGTAATAACAAACAAAAGGCATTTAGCTTTCTGGAACCTGGTATGCAGTAGATCTTCATGAAATACTAGCTCTGTTGATAAAACTAGACCAAAAGAAGCTTTCAAAGTCAACAACAGTATCATGCAGTGAAGGACGTAGACGAGAAGCTGCTACTACAGCTTGCAGCTCCTGGAGGCCCATTTTGTCCATGACTTAGCAGGAATGCACTACCTTTCCATAAGGAGACACTGCCCACAGAAACCAAGGCCATTCTTTGAAGACAAATATGTTTTAATAGCCTTTACATTATGTAATAGTGTAATATAATTTATTAATAATAATGTAAAATTATTTACATTATTATGTTACAACTTTTGTACAGAGCTTTACACCTAGATATTCTGAAGTTGGTGGTCTGTGAGTGGCATCAAGTGATGACCGACACACTCTGACCTGGGGTAGAACAACACGTGTCCCTGCAGTTTGCTGAATTTCAGGGCATCACCACCTTTTTTCAGCTCCACAGAGAACAGCAGCACCTCGAGGGACAGATGTGCAAAAAGCAAGGTGGAGGCCCTTCTGCTGGAGAGGCGGCTGGGGAGGGTCCTTAGAGGAAGTGACAGCTGAGCTCTTCTCTGAAGGGTGAAGCTGAATTACTTGAAGCTTAGGGTGAAGGGGTGTCCAGAGAAGTGGAGCCTGTGAGCCAAAAGCATAATGACTTGTCCAGAGAAGTGTAACAAGTTCCATATTGTTTCTATGCCAAATCTGTACAGGAGTCACCAAAGGAAAGAGCAGGATCCTGGAGCCAGGGCCTTGGAACTCCCCCGCTGGCAATGGGAATGTTCACTGGGAATTTTGGGGGGCAAAATCTGAAAATGTTTCCTCTTAGCTCCAATTCTCTGTCTGTCTATTTCTGTCCCTCTCTCTTTCCCTTATTATCCTAAGAAAACACAGATGTCTCAGATGTGGGGATTAGCAGCCTGCCTCTTCCTGGATGACTTCAGGGGAGCACTTTGGCCTCTGTGAACTTATTTACAATAATTCACGAATCTCGCCAAAAAAAAAAAAAAAAAGTCATGGTAGCAGAGGTTAGAAAATATCCTAGTATTTCTTCTGATGCTTTGAATTTATGATTAATATGTTGAATCTTCATCTTCTGAAAAGCCACCGGTTGCACAGTGAGGACCATAAAGGGAGTCTGTTTCTGTGGTTTGTGGCTTCAACAGTCAGCGGTTTTGCAGCAATAGCATTACATGTGGGTTTTAGAATGATGATGCTCAACAGTGGACAATTCTCTTCCCCTGCCTGGGCCCCACTGCCCGCCCTTCCATACAGTGCGGGGTCACAGCTGAGCTCTCTGAGACACCTCGCAGGATCTCGGCTTCTGAACTATCAAGTGTCTTCTAGGTGAGGTCTTGGTCTCATAGTCTTTGTGGCTTCCTCCAGGTAACACTTGGTTTTTTGACCTAACCTTGGTATTTGTGTGACACACGTGTGAATGTGCTCCCTGTGGCAGCGCTGAGGAAGGACTCAGTCATCACAGATGCCAAAAGGCAAATGCAATGTGCTTTTTTCCAACATATCCAGTCTTGCATTTTTACCCATCAGCCCATTTGAAAAAGAAAAAAAAAAGCCCTCCGTTAGAATTAAATCCCCTCTGGAGATAATGTGTATTTTTTACATCTTTCACTTTTTTTATAGTCACATTTGCTCCCAGTGCCTGCCAGAATCCACTAGAGGGCAGAGACACCCATTTATATTTGTGTGGCACTTGCTGAGTGGTAAGAAAAACAGACACCCTGCCCTCCCAGAGCCAACCTCCAGTGCCGGGGCCAGTGGCAGCAAGTAAGAAAACCTCAGTTTCTGTATCTGCATCAGCTACATGGTGCTCACACACAGGAGGCATCAACCAGTTTTCTCAGTTAAAGAGACAGAAACAAAATGTGTCTTTGCTACTTTTTGAATTTACCATGTTATCTAATGTTTTAACTTAATTGAATGAATAAACTCCCTATGCATCTGGACACATGCATGGGAAATTCACAAACATTTCAAACCAAAATAGAGTATTCTGACAAAAGAGAACTTCTTTTGATATGTGAATGTCACTTTTTTCTATCTTTTAGTGATTTTAATTTAATGAAATTGAGAAGTCTGTGCCTCTAAAAGACTTAAGAGCAAGGTATTTCTCCATTTTGAAAAAAAATTTGGCAAAATATCTTCTACTGTAGATACAAGTTAATTGGCTGAGGGTAATAAATAGAAGATTAAAAAATGACTTTTATCCCGTTATTCTGTCAAGGGCTACAGTGAATTACACACCCTGGCTTGGGTTTGCACGCCACGTGCTGGAAGCCAGCAGTCATGAAGGCCATGCTCTCCCACACTTAGAAAAAAAGCGCATAAGAAAGAACTCCATCAACTTCACACAGAATGACCTCCAGCAAGACCTGGGAGATGGATTTCTGGATGGACGCTGCTGCTGGAGGAGACAATGCCACTGCAGATGGCTCACACTGCTCCCACGCTATAGGGGCCAGTGACTTGTGGCTCCCACACGCCGTCCCATTGGGGAACTGAGATTCACCCCAGCTGGGTGGACTCTTCTGTGTCCCCTGTCAAGAAGCTCCACGGCTTACCTTGGTTTTTTCCTTTTTAAAACTCTCTGGTGTTTTCCTGTCCAGTGGGGGCTGCATCTCACCTTAGAAGAAAACATTTTCCAACTAGGAGCTGTCTTGGTAGCTGGTCCAGAGAAAGTTCTCCTCTCTCTGGAGTGAGGTCCAGCCAAGTAACTCCAGCCAGAATTCTCACTGAGTGGGGCTGGATCTGCCCTGTTCTCCTCCCATCCTTATGCTGACTGTGGAAATCCATCCGTGCCCTATGCAAAGTCCTGCATCTTGGACTGTAAAATGGCAAAAGCCAAATTTAACACATACGATTATATTGACTGTATGAGGAAAAGAAAGTTCTAAGATAGACAATTGGTAAGCAAGCAATAATGTGTAACTTGCTAGAACACTAGAGTGTTTTTTATTTGTCTGATTATTTTCTGTTTAACAGGCTGGCTAAGAGCCAGTGGGAGAGAAAGCTCGCTGGGAACTGAGAGGCATGAGGTCACCTCAGTCCCAACATTTCCATGTAAACGATGATGCGAGCTGGGCTGGTGGCAAGATCAGAGCAGAACTCAAGGTGATAGAGACATGAAAAACCCTTCAAAAAAAAATCAATGAATCCAGGAGCTGGTTTTTTGAAAAGATCCACAAAATAGACCAATAGCCAGACTAATAAAGAAGAAAAGAGAGAAGAACCAAATAGACGCAATAAGAAAGCATATAGGGGATATCACCACTGATCCCCCAGAAATACAAACTATCATCAGAGAATACTATAAACGCATCTATGCAAATAAACTAGAAAATCTAGAAGAAACAAATAAATTACTGGACACATACACCCTCCCAAGTCTAAACCAGGAGGAAGTCGAATCCCTGAATAAACCAATATCAAGTTCTGAAATTGAGACTGTAATTAATAGCCTACCAACCAAAAAAAGTCCAGGACCAGATGGATTCACAGCCGAATTCTACCAGAGGTACAAACAGGAGCTGGTACCATTCCTTCTGAAACTATTCCAAACAATAGAAAAAGAGGGAATCCTCCCTAACTCATTTTATGAGGCCAGCATCATCCTGATACCAAAACCTGGCAGAGACACAAGAAAGAAAGAAAATTTCAGGCCAGTATTCCTGATGAACATCAACGCAAAAATCCTCAACAAAATACTGGCAAACCGAGTCCAGCAGCACATCAGAAAGTTTATCCACCACGATCAAGTCAGCTTCATCCCTGGGATGCAAGACTGGTTCAACACACGCAAATCAATAAACGTAATCCACCACATAAACAGAACCAAAGACAAAAACCACATGATTATCTCTATAGATGCAGAAAAGGCCTTCAACAAAATTCAACAGCCCTTCATGCTAAAAACTCTCAATAAACTAGGTATTGATGGAATGTATCTCAAAATAATAAGAGCTGTTTATGACAAACTCATAGCCAATATCATACTGAATGGGCAAAAACTGGAAGCATTCCCTTTGAAAACTGGCACAAGACAAGGATGCCCTCTCTTGCCACTCCTATTCAACACAGTATTGGAAGTTCTGGCCAGGGCAATGAGGCAAGAGAAAGAAATAAAGGGTATTCAAATAGGAAGAGAGGAAGTCAAATGGTCTCTGTTTGCAGATGACATGATTGTATATTTAGAAAACCCCATTTTCTCAGCTGGGCACGGTGGCTCACGTCTGTAATCCCAGCACTTTGGGAGGCCGAGGCTGGTGGATCACGAGGTCAGGAGATCCAGACCATCCTGGCTAACACGGTGAAACCCCGTCTCTACCAAAAATACAAAAAACTAGCTGGGCATGGTGGCGGGCGCCTGTGGTCCCAGCTACTCGGGAGACTGAGGCAGGAGAATGGCGTGAACCCGGGAGGCGGACCTTGCAGTGAGCCGAGATCGTGCCACTGCACTCCAGCCTGGGCAACAGAGTGAGACTCTGTCTCAAAAAAAAAAAAAAAGAAAAAAGAAAAGAAAACCCCATTGTCTCAGTCCAAAATCTCCTTAAGCTGATAGGCAACATCAGCAAAGTCTCAGGATATAAAATCAATGTGCAAAAATCACAAGCATTCCTATACACCAATAACACACAAACAGCCGAATCATGAGTGAACTCCCATTCGCAATTGCTACAAACAGAATAAAATACCTGGGAATACAATTTACAAGGGATGTCAAGGACCTCTTCAAGGAGAACTACAAATCACTGCTCAAAGAAATAAGAGAGGACACAAACAAATGGAAAAACATTCCATGCTCATGGATAGGAAGAATCAATATCGTGAAAATGGCCACACTGCCCAAAGTAATTTATAGATTCAATGCGATCCACATCGAGCTAACACTGACTTTCTTCACAGAATTGTAAAAAACTACTTTAAATTTCATGTGGAACTAAAAAAGAGCATACATAGCCAAGACAATCCTGGGGAAAAAGGGCAAAGCTGGAGGCATCATGCTACCTGACTTCAAACTCTACTACAAGGCTACAGTAAGCAAAACAGCATGGTACTGGTACCAAAACAGATATATAGACAATGGAACAGAATAGAGACCTCAGAAACAACATCCACATCTACTAGCATCTGATCTTTGACAAACCTGACAAAAACAAGCAATGGTGAAAAGATTCCCTATTTAATAGTGTTGGGAAAACTGGTTAGCCATATGCAGAAAACTGAAACTGGACCCCTTCCTTACACCTTATACAAAAATCAACTCAAGATGGATCAAAGACTTAAACGTAAGACCTAGAACCATAAAAATCCTAGAAGAAACCCTGGGCAATACCATTCAGGACATAGGCATGGGCAAAGACTTCATGTCTAAAACACCAAAAGCAATGGCAACAAAAGCCAAAACTGACAAATGGGATCTAATTAAACTAAAGAGCTTCTGCACAGCAAAATAAACTATCATCAGACTGAACAGGCAACCTACAGAACGGGAGACAATTTTTGCAATCTACTCATCTGACAAAGGGCTAATATCCAGAATCTACAAAGAACTTAAACAAATTTACAAGAAAAAAAAAAAACCATCAAAAAGTAGGCAAAGAATATGAACAGACACTTCTCAAAAGAAGACATTTATGCAGCCAATAGACATATGAAAAAATGTTCATCATCACTGGTCATTAGATAAATGCAAATCAAAACCACAATGAGATACCATCTCACACCAGTTAGAATGGCGATCATTAACAAGTCAGGAAACAACAGATGCTGGAGAGGATGTGGAGAAATAGGGACGCTTTTACACTGTTAGTGGGACCGTAAATTAGTTCCACCATTGTGGAAGACAGTGTGGCGATTCCTTAAGAATCTAGAACTAGAAATACCATTTGACCCAGCAATCTCATTACTGGGTATATACCCAAAGGATTATAAATCATTCTACTACAAAGACACATGCACACATATGTTTATTGCAGCACTATTCACAATAGCAAAGACTTGGAACCAACCCAAATGTCCATCAATAATAGACTAAAGAAAATGTGGCACATATACACCATGGAATACTATGCAGCCATAAAAAAAGGATGAGTTCATGTCCTTTGCAGGGACATGGATGAAGCTGGAAACCATCATTCTCAACAAACTATCACAAGAACAGAAAACCAAACATCGCAAGTTCTCACTCATAAGTGGGAGTTGAACAATAAGAACACATGGACATAGGGAGGGGAACCTCATACCAGGACCTGTCAGGGGGTGGGGGGCTAGGGGAGGGATAGCATTAGGACAAATACCTAATGTAGGTGACAGGTTGATGGGTGCAGCAAGCCACCATGGCACGTGTATACCTATGTAACAAAAACTGCACATTCTGCACATGTACCCCAGAACTTAAAGTATAATTAAGAAAAAAAAAAGATATATACTGGGAGGCTGAGGTGGGCAAATCACTTGAGCTCAAGAGTTCAAGACCAGCCTGGCCAACATGGTGAAACACCATCTCTACTAAAAATAGAAAAATTAGCCGGGTGTGGTGGTGGGTGCCTGTAATCCCAGCTACTTGGGAGGCTGAGGCAGGAGAATCACTTGAGCCCAGGAGACAGAGGATGCAGTGAGCCGAGATTGCGCACCACTGCATTCCAGCCTGGGTGACAAGGCAACTCCATCTCAAAATAAAAACAAAAGGTACAAATGGCAAACAGGTATAAAAAAAGTGCTCAACATCACTGATCAACAGAAAAATGCAAGTGAAAACTACATTGAGATATCTCATCCGGGCAGAAATGGCTGTAATCCAAAAGACAGACAATAACAAATGCTGGCAAGGATGTGGAGAAAAGGGAACCCTTGAACACTGCTGGTGGGAATGTAAATTAGTACAACCTCTATGGAGAACAGTTTGAAGCTTCCTCAAAAACTAAAAATAGAGCTACCATATGATTCAGGAATCCCATTCCTAAGTATACATCCAAAAGAAAAAAAAATCAGTATATTGAAGAAAGATCTGAACTCATGTTTATTTTCTGCACTATTCTCAATAGTCATGATTTGGGAGCAACCTAAGTGTCCATCAACAGAAGAATGGATAAAGAAAATGTACATATACACAATGAAGTGTGATTAATATTTAGCCACAAAAAAATGATATTCAGTCATTTGCAACAACATGAATGGAACTGGAGGTCATTATGTTAAGTGAAATAAGCCAAGCAAAGACAGACAAACTTCAGATGTTCTCACTTATTTGTGGGAGCTAAAAATGAAAACAATTGAACTCATGGACACACAGAGTGGAAAGAAGGTTACCAGAGCTTGGAAAGGGTAGTTAGGGGGTGGGGGAGAGTGGGAATAGTTAATGGGTATGAAAAAATAGAAAGAATGAGTAAGACCTAGTATTTGCTAGCACAACAGGGTGAATATAGTTAAAAATAATTTAATTGCACATTTTAAAATAACTAACAGTATAATTGGATTGTTTGAAACACAAAGGACAAGTGTTTGACAAGATGGATACCCCATTTACCCTGATGTGATTTTTATACATTGCATGTTTGTATCAGAATATCTCATGTAACCCATAAAAATACACTCCTACTATGTACCCACAAAATTAAAAAAATAATTTTTTTTACAAAAATGAATCTCACATTGATATATGTGTATTAGGAAAATATTTTCATTAAGAAAATATGAAATCTGCACCTCTAGCCCTCTGACTAAATACAAGGCAGATTATCCCTCAAAAGTTTGATAAACTTGGATTAATATGAAATAAATATGATTAAGAAATCCATCACATTTACATGATATTTATACACTATTGCCTATCTTAGATTATAAACCATGGCATGCAATGGTAAAGTCTTCTTACTGTTCTTGCAAGTTTTCCTTTGATTATTCTTGCTAGGATTCAAATATACCCCAAAGCACAACTTTTATTTGAATAAAAAGTGATCCATAACTTTAAATAAATAAGTTCAAAAATATAAATATAAATGAATATAAATATTAATTTATATCACATGTAGGCATAACACAACACAATAAAAAAGATAACTGTATTGTGGGTAGGGAGAAAATAGAAAATCAAGTCATTAGAAATTCAGGTCTTTTTTCCAACACAAAACAGAAGTGCTCAACTGCCATCTGTATTTAACTGTAAACATCTCATTATAAACCAAAGAAGCATGTCTCATGATGTCACCGGATGTGGTACTCCCTGAAGCATTTGGCATGGACACCCTTCTGGCACTTCTCACACCGGGTGTTGGTCTGTGAGTGGCAGAGGGCACACCGGGTCCTCTTGTCCTGATGGATAATCCAGTGCCCAATCATATCGAAGCGGCTCTCAGTCTCCAACCGCCTGCTTCGCCTCCCTTGAGATGTTGTGTCAGCATTGCTCTCCAGATACACACAGGCAATGTATCTCCGGAAGGCAAGGAGGTCCACCTGGGCATCTTGGCAGCAGATTCTATGCAGCTGCCATGCATTGTTGAGGGCAGCATCAATGACATAGCCAATAAAGCTTGAGTACCACTTCATGCCTCGGATCTTCACCTTGTACTTGGCAATATTCTGATCCATCCTACCAACGCCACCCACCTTCTCCTGATACAGCTTCACCAGTGATGGCTGGTGGACCTGAGTCCGCGTTTTAGCTGCTCCAGAGTGACGACTGGTCAGCCTCACTGGCTCTATGCCCACAGCATTGGAGCAAATGTTGACCACGCTGCTATCGTGCCAGCGGCACACGATGATCTCCTCACTCTCATCGACTTTGTAATCAAATGAACCCCTCTTCATTTTTTTCAGTTCTTTGGGGTCTTTTAGGGGACATCGCTCAGTCCTGTACTCACGAACAGTTCCTGTGGCTTTCACCCCCTTTTTCCTCAAAATGGACATCAGTTTAACACTTGTGAAAACCTTGTCAAAAAATATGTGATATGGCAGAAAACCACGCTCCTGAAGCGCATCCACAAATTTTATTACCATACTGCCTCCTAGATCCAAGCTCCTGTCTGGCTTGGTAAACAGTGTGCCCTGTGAGGGCTCAAACCACACCAAGTAGCCTCTGCTGGTTGTCCCACACCAAATCTTGTAGCCAAGTCGCACAGGCTTCCCCCTGTGCAGCTGCTTGGACCCCCGGTGCCCAAAGTACTCACACATAGACTCGCCAAAGCTGTAGAACTCTTCCAAGGGTGCATGCTTCTGGAAATTGCAGTTCATCCGGATGATGAGAGGTCTGACCTTGGCAAACCTATCACTTGCATCAAGTTCGTTGTTATCTGCAAAATGTAAGTATGAGAAGATTAGTTCAAATCTGTCCCTTCTAATTGCATCAGCCACAAGATGATGATGTGAATCGGGAGAGGTTTCCCAGAACATCCTTCTCCTTGGATAAGAGATGTACCCACTTAAAATCAAAATGCCCAAAACACACTTCAATTCCTGAGCCGTAAGACTCAAATTGACATTTTTCTGCCAAGCATAACGATTGGTTTCATTAACAATGAAATTAATTGTTCCTTCATCAAAAAACAACTCAAAAAGGCCCACGGGACTCAGCTCTTGGCTTTTCAGATCCTCAATATGAGGATCTGATGCAGTCCAACTGCCAAAGTCTGGACGAATATCTCTTTTGGTCCAAATGCGCTGAGGTTTCACAACTGCTTTCTGCCTCTTCTTGGCTGGCTGCAGCTCCAGGTCGTCATTATCCTCCCCGGTGCCAGAGTCCTCACACAGGACTGAAGCATGCAGCACACTGCCAGGTAGGTGAGCACCTCGCTGGCTGTCTTCATCCCCTGAGTCCTCATCAGTGAATTCCCCCGCAGCATTGTCGGGAGGTGCAATGAAAATCTCTTCCCTGTTGTTGTTGGACTCTTCCTCCTCCATAGCATTCAGAACCTCAAGCAGCTTTGCAGACTTCACCTTTGAGTGGATACCTCTCCCAGCAATGACATCTCTGTTATGACAGGAAACAGAATCAGGAAGAGGCCATGCCAGAAAGCCAATGCTTCAGCAGAAAAGAGGAGGGTGCTCCCACTATAAAACACTTCCACTTGAATGGCTTCACAGATCTGGCATCACAAGGCACCGCATTTAGTAAGTAAATTTTCCAGCTAAACACAGATTCTGCTTTTTATTGTTATAATTTTTTTTTTTAGACGGAGTCATGCTCTGTCACCCAGGCTGGAGTGCAGTGGTGCATTGCAACCTCCGCCTCCTGGGTTCAAGCGATTCTCCTGCCTCAGCCTCCCGAGTACCTGGGACTACAGGTGCGTGCCACCATGCCCGGCTAATTTTTTTATATTTTTAGTAGAGATGGGGTTTCACCGTGTTAGTCAGGATGGTATGGATCTCCTGACCTCGTGATCCACCTGCCTCAGCCTCCCAAAGTGCTGGGATTACAGGCGTGAGCCATGGCACCCGGCCCACAGATTCTGCTTTTAAGTGCAGAAGTATTTTAACAATGGGAGACGGAATAAACGGGTCTTACCTACTTCCTTTCCTTCTTAAACGATGTACTCTAAAGCAGAGGGTCCCTTTAGTGATGAATCCAGATGCTGCTGTCATCACCCCAGATAACAGAAACTGGCAACAGGGAGCCCTGGGCAGCTGCAGTGACACCCACTCCTGTCCCCTCAGACTCAATGGCCCTAGGAGCTCTGCAATTACATTTGTCTTACTATACCTTCCCTCTCTTATTGACAAATAGAAGTTTCCCTCATTCCCCAAATTCTCAAACTCTCCCAACTTGAACTCTCACTACCCAAATTCAAGAACTGAGCAGATCTGGATTTTCAGATAGCTCCCTTGCGGTTATCCTACTGTATGCTAACTGCAATTCAGAAGCCAAATCAATTTGGAAAACATGGAAACTCCTGACACTCTCTGGCCCTGTGGACATAGGAACCAAATGGATGGTGAGTGATACAGGTGCTCCTCGACTTACAATCAGGTTACATCCCAATAAACCCATCATGAGTTAAAAATGTCATAAGTCAAAAATGCATTTAATACACCTAACCTACCAAACATCGTAGTGTAGCCTAGCCTACCTTAATCGTGCTCAGAACATTTACATTAGCCTATGGTTGGGAAAAAAGTCATCTAACACAAAGCCTATTTTATAATTAAGTATTAAATAGCTCATATAATTTATTGACTACTGGACTGAAAGTGAAAAACAGAGTGACAGTATGGGTACTGAAAGTACAGTTTCTACAGAATGTATCTGGCTTTTACACCATCTTAAGTTGAACCACGCTAAGTGGGAGACTCTCTGTACTTGCATTTGAGCACAGACAGTGAGCAGGTGCTGCCCAGGGGCTGGCGATGGGTACACTCCACTCCCACCCTGCACAGCACTTTAGTTCTAATTGGAGGAGTCAGACAACAAATCAACAGACAAGTAGCTATGCAGGATGGTGTCAGGTAGCAATGAATGCCATCCCGGATAAGGACAGAATGCAACAAAGGGGTAGAGCTAGGGCTGCTATTTTGGACAGAATGGTGAGAGAAGGCTCACAGAGTGGGAGACCTGAAGGAGGTGAGAGAAAGAGCCCTACAGACAGCTGGAGACAAGATGTCCCAGGCAGAGAGAAAGAACCACAGGCACACAGTCCTGACACTGAAGGGATTCAACATCTGCAGAACGGCAAGGAGATCAGCGAGGCTGCAGGTGCAATGAAGACAAGAGAGCAGAGCAGAGCCAGAGAGAACCAGGCCCCACAGGACTCCACAGGCCCTGGCCAGGACTTCCAGTGTTCAGCTGCCATACGTAGCCCCAGGGGTGGGGGTGAACCATGGAACAGGGTAGTGAGGAATCATATCTAGGCTGTAAACACATCACCCTGGCTATGAGAATGGACTCAGCATGGAGGGTAGGCACAGAGGTCCCTGCAGCTTCCCTGTGCCCCTTTGCAGGCCCCAACCTCTACGTGAGGACCCTCCATCCCAACAGAAGGATGCAGGATTTACCACAGAAGCTGCATCAGTACAGACCTGCCCATGGACTTTGGAGTTCAGGCTGCATTAGAAATTCACTCCAACCTCACTTCCTGGAGACTGACTGTCAGCTGCCATGCTGACCTCCAGGGAGGTGAGGTATTCACTCATCCAAGCTCTGCATGGGCCAGAAAAAGAGACCGGCTTAAAGGGAAAGAAAATTAAAAGCCCTTCTCATGGACCTTGGAGTAAGGGGTACAGCAGCCATCTTCACGCTTTCCTGACCTGTCCTCACCCAGTTCACAGGGGCAGAGCCAAGGCTGCAAGCTCCAGGTCTCTACCAGGCTTGACTGCCCAAGCTCCAGCTCACCCCCAGACTCTCAAACAACTTCTGCACATGACTGTTCAAACCCCAGGCATGAGAAACCCTGCGGGGACTGAGGTGGCCCCAGGAGTAACCATCTGGTGTCTTTATCTTGAAAGATGAGGAAAGTGAAGTCATGGTTTTCTATCGAGTGTAAACATTAGTGCTACATAACCACACCCACACCATGCAACTGTCAGCCTTTTCCCATTTTTCCCATTCTTCTCCCATCTCCTCTCCCTTCTTCCTTTATACTTCCTGGACACCAACTGTTATACTGAGGCCAAGAGCTAAAAATGTCATGGACCTGGCCTTTCAAAAGCATAGGGGAATAAATTCTTCAATAAAACATTTGATCAAACAGCACTCCTACCTGGATGTTGAAGCCATGATGAACTGGGAAGATGAAGCTGTCTTTACTCACAGAGTCTAAGAACCTGTAAGACAAGAAAAGTCAATTTAAAAAAAAATTGTATCTTAAGAAGCAAGGCAACAGGATCTTTTCTACCATTTAAGGGAAAAATATATTTGACTTAAGATTCACCACCTTAATAGTGTCTGGGTCGACTGGTTATTCAGAGGGAAAAGAACAAACTCCTTCATCTCACAACTCACACCAAAATACATTCTAAAGTAGATGATATTTGGGGCTAGATGAGTCTTCCCTTGTGGGGTGGCGGGGCTTTCCACTGCATTCTAGGATGTTTAGCGGCATCCCTGGCTTCTACTAATAGATGCCAGTAGAACATCCCGCTGCACGATCCATAATAGCTAAACATCAGAAAAACCTAAAAGACTACCAACTGGGAAATGAATATATTAATTAGAAGTTTAAAAAAATGAACTACCTAGACAGCAGACAGATCCTGAAAACAACACTTAATGAAACAAAGCTGCAGAGAGAAAGTGCAGAACACCACTTATATAACTATAAATACCCACAAGAAATTCCCTGTGTTCTCAGCAGATACTATGTGCAGGGAAGGAGTATAAAACCAGAACTGGAAGGCTACACACTAGCTCTTCACAGAAGGGGTACCCACAGGGGAGGGAGGGAAACTGGAGTGAGGAAGTGGAAGATGAGATGGGGTGAGGGGGGAGAGGAAGGCCAACCAGATCTGTTAGTTCTTTTTATAAAATCTGAGTGCTCTGGCCAGGCGCGGTGGCTCACACCTGTAATCCCAGCACTTTGGGAGGCCGAGGCGGGCAGATCACCTGAGGTCGGGAGTTCGAGACCAGCCTGACCAACATGGAGAAACCCCGTGTCTACTAAAACTACAAAATTAGCCAGGCGTGGTGGCACATGCCTGTAATCCCAGCTACTCAGGAGGCTGAGGCAGGAGAATCGCTGGAACCCAGGAGGCGAGGTTGCAGTGAGCCGAGATCGCACCATTACACTCCAGCCTGGGCAACAGGAGTGAAACCCCATCTCAAAAAAAAAAAAAAAAAAAATCTGAGCGCTCACTTCGGCAGCACATATACTAAAATTGGACCAATACTGAGAAGATTAGCATAGCCTGTCCACAAAGAGGACATGCAAATTCGTAAGTGTTCCATATTTAAAAAAAAATCTGAATCAAATATGGCAAAATGTGTTAATATGTGTTAAATCTGGGAGGTGGGGACATGGATGTTGATATATTTTTCTCTGTATTTTCTGTATGTTTGAAATATTTTGGAGTAAAGACATTAGAAACCCTTTTAGCAAGTGAGCACTTAAGTGCAGAGTACTGTTTTAAGCATTTTTACCGATGTCAATGCATTTCAGTCCTTTCATATCTTCTTGAGGTTGTAGTAACCCCCATTTAACCATTGAGGAAACTGAGGCATGGAAAGAAGTGACTTGCCCAGCGATGCAGAACAAAATCACAACAGATTTAGAAAGTGTTAGTGTCCAAGGGCATCTAATTAGTTTTCCAGGAGATTAGACAGTCACGCTTGAATAATTTAATGGAAAACCAGTCGCCCTGACCCTGTCAGTAAACTGATAAAATGCAGTAATACTGGGGGGAAATGCAAACAGAAGTCAGGAAGCATCCCTGTTTATCCAGAGCTCACAGAAATTAATTATAGGAGTAGGGGGATTTGCACATGCACACAATGATGATGGGAGTTTCCACAAGGATTCCAGCTAAGGAAATATCTCAGCACCACAGGGACCCCATGCCAATATTTTCAAAATGGTGATGACTGCTGGCAAGCCACCTGGACAGCTGATTCAAGTTAACTTCTCATTTTAAGATATTAAACTTTCTATGCATTTTAATTTCCCTGGACAACTCACTCTGGGCCACTTTTACAACCGCAAGAATAGACCAACAACCCCTCTCTGCGCATCTCCAATAACTCTCCCACCTGGTGTCATATCCTTCTCTGTCTCCCTGCTGCACCCAGAACAGTGGCAGTTAGTGGACAGAGGAAGTAGAGCACCCAGAGGGTGCTTTAAAATTTGCTGGGGGAGCGCCCGGCCAGCCACCCCGTCCGGGAGGGAGGTGGGGGGGTCAGCCCCCCGCCCGGCCAGCCGCCCCGTCCGGGAGGTGAGGGGCGCCTCTGCCCAGCCGCCCCTACTGGGAAGTGAGGAGCCCCTCTGCCCGGCCAGCCGCCCCGTCTGGGAGGTGTGCCCAACAGCTCATTGAGAACGGGCCAGGATGACAATGGCGGCTTTGTGGAATAGAAAAGGGGGAAAGGTGGGGAAAAGATTGAGA
This sequence comes from Homo sapiens, assembly GCF_000001405.40. Classification (NCBI taxonomy): domain Eukaryota; kingdom Metazoa; phylum Chordata; class Mammalia; order Primates; family Hominidae; genus Homo; species Homo sapiens. Next base: position 248,911,547 of record NC_000001.11, on the reverse strand, counting down.
AATCGGATGGTTGCCGTGTCTGTGTAGAAAGAAGTAGACATGGGAGACTTTTCGTTTTGTTCTGTACTAAGAAAACTTCTTCTGCCTTGGGATCCTGTTGATCTGTGACCTTACCCCCAACCCTGTGCTCTCTGAAACATGTGCTGTGTCCACTCAGGGTTGAATGGATTAAGGGCGGTGCAAGATGTGCTTTGTTAAACAGATGCTTGAAGGCAGGATGCTCGTTAAGAGTCATCACCACTCCCTAATCTCAAGTACCCAGGGACACAAACACTGCAGAAGGCTGCAGGGTCCTCTGCCTAGGAAAACCAGAGACCCTTGTTCACATGTTTATCTGCTGACCTTCCCTCCACTATTATCCTATGACCCTGCCAAATCCCCCTCTCCGAGAAACACCCAAGAATGATCAATAAATACTAAAAAAAAAAGAAAAGAAAAGAAAACCCTAGAAAATGTAAGCTAACCTATAGTAACAGAAAACACATTCGTGGGTGCTCGAGATGGGGGGGCAAATAGGGCTGGGAGGGAAAGATTACAAAGGGGCAGGAGGAAACTCTTGGAGATGATGGATATGTTCAGGATCTTGGTTGTGGTGGTGGTTTCACGGTGTGGTCACATGCCGAAACTCATCAAATTACACACTTCGAATATACGCAGTTTGTTGCATGTCAATTATACCACAATAAAGCTGTTTTTTTCTTTTGTTAAAAAAAAAACAAATTCCTCTATGGCTTGTGAGAAAAGCTCATCACCTGATTAGATCATAAGCTCCAGTAATCACAGACATGAGTCCCCATGGGCTTTCAGTAAATCCAAGTGTGTGATTGTGATGTCTGTGGGGCTCCAGCTCCCCTTCTGCTCTGACCTTCTTGGCACTAAGGCAGGCTTGCTGCAGGCAGATGCCAGGTGTGTGAGGTGCAGAAGAAAGACCTCAGTCCCTCAATCTCTCCCCACCCCCTTTCACAAGTCTGTAGCCCAGGAAAAATGTGTAATATGGAGCCACCAGCGATGAGCTGTGCGATTTTGGAAAGTCACTTACCAAAGAGACTTCCTGGTGCCCTTGTCTTTCACCTGTAAAATGGGATCATCATGGTACCTACCCTCACTGCACTGTGAAAACAGTAAGAGTCAATGTGTGTAAAGCAGACACAACAGGCCTGGATTCCCAAGTGTTAACTATAATTTCAGGTTCAAAACCCCTCACCTGCAATTCCAAAAGCCAAATATGGTTTAAAAACTGAACTTTCTTTCAAAACTTTGCAACAAACTCTTTGGCAGCAAAACCTGGACTGACCTGAGGCTCTTCATAATGTCTAATTCTGTTACTATAAATATCCATACATTTTGCTGCAGAAATTATGTTTGATTAAGGATGCATCAGTATGACTGATAAAACTCAAACAGTCTGACTTCTTCCCCAGGTCCAGCCAGGTTTGGGTCAAGAAGCCTGACTTGTGTTACCATGTCACAGTTGCTTCACCTCTCAGCAGTTTACCACCTTTTCCTCCACTGTGCCTTAGGCTGGCCCCATCCACTTGCTAACATACAGACTGACAGCCTCCAGCCATTAGGGCATGAGCCCATCTTCACAGCCTACCAAGAACTTGCCAACCAAGCTCTGAAATAAAATCAAAGCCATTCACAGCCTGGTCCCCAGCCTCATCCCGACCCAGTTCTGCCTCTAGGTTCAGACCACTCCTGAGGGCTGGTCCAGTTTCTTGTATCCTGTCTCCCTCAGGTTCCCTACTCTGGCCTGACTGCTTTGCTTTCTTCTTGTGTGCTGTGCCTTTTGCCTGGGGTGCCATTCCCTGCCTATGGGATCCCCTGCAATGTCTTTCTCATCCATCAAGCTTCCAATCAAGTCTTCCTCTTACCACAGCTTTCACCACAATAGACTGAAATTAATAATCCATCTTCAGGTCGACCCCACCTCTGTATCCCCAAAAGGCAACATGGCATCTGGCATGCAGCAGGCCCTCAATAAATACTCGCTGAACCAAATTAATCATGCCACAGAGCCAAATGGCCACACTCCAGGGCACCCCGTCCATCTCAACCTGCTGCAGACTTTCATTTTCATCTTTACTATTTGGCTTTGAGACAACTATTTAGAAAAGAACCAGAAGCTCTTGATATATGCTTGACCCTAACTAAAATATACTCCTAAAAGAGTCTCTGAAACCACGCATAGGAAATACCTGTCAGTGAAGAATCTAATACAGTGGACTCAACCAGGTCAGAGGGGGATACATACGCAAGAAGCTCAGCAAAAACCCATTCTACCTTTCAGGAGTCTGTAGACTGTGCTCCCCAGGCCCTCCATCCCCTCACATGTGGCTCCTCCATCTTTCTTGCCCTGCCTGAGACAACCAACAGAGGAAGAGGACATGGGTAACCAGTGCTCCTACATACCAAGCAAACTCACAAAGGGAATAATGTCTAGATAGAGGCTGTTAGGCAGCCACACTATCACTTTTTCATTCGTTTGGCAAACATCTGAAGTATCTACTGGGTGCCAGGTATATATGCATAAAATTGTAACTATGACAGGGCTAAGAAGGAAAGGAGGTGTTTATCAAAACCCGTAAAACGGAAACTGATCTAGTCAGGGAGGTCAGAGAATATCTCCCTGAGGAAAAGACAAAATGATGGAGAGCTGCAGAAAGAGTAACAATTCCCTCAGCAGGCAGGGAATAGCACCCCAGGCAAAAGGCACAGCACAGGAGAAGCAAAGCAGTGACGCCAGAGTAAGGAATCTGCGGGACAGGGTACAAGAGGCTGTACCAGCCCTGCAGAGACTTGAAGACCCTGTTAAGGAGGCCTGTCTTTATAAGAGCTATGGGAAGTTTAAAAAAAAAAAAAATACAGGAAGAGCATAACAGAAGGAAGGGTGTATGTTAACAAGCTTATTCTGGGTGCAGTATGGACAACTGAGTATGCAGGCCCCAACATAGATGCAGGGAGATGGACAAAAAGGCTACGGCAAAAGGGTGGGGCCTATGGAGAGAAATGGACACACTTAAGGAGGACTTAAAATGTAAAACCATCAAGCCTGGATAATTGGTTGAGGGGGTAGGGCAGGGGAGAAAGCTGATCGGGGAAGCCTCCTAGATTTCAGGCACCCTATGGCTGGTGCACAGAGGTGCCATTCACTAAGCCTAGCAGCACTGGGAGGAAGAGCAGAGGGTGGTCACGAGCTGCCCAGAGGTCCAACTGGGCATTCTCAACTGAACTGGCCCAGGCACTCAACAAAGAAAAAGCAACTTGGTGTGAGACCTGGAGCTCCCCAGGCCACTCTAAAGGGTCCTAGGGGATTGGGAGGTGGGAGAGCTGCTGTTTAAAATGTAAATTTCTCCAAGGAAAGACAGGACAACTAAATGCTGTCTTGGAACCTAAATTACAAAATGGAAATAGGTGAGAGTAAAGAAATTCGAATAAGGCCTGTAGGTGTTAATATCCTGGTTTTGTTGACTGTTTTGTAAAATAAGATGTTAACCCCTAGGAAATCCAGACGAACCGTACATGGGAATTTTTGCTTGTTTCACAACACTCTGAAACTCTGAAATTAATTCAAGATAAAAATTATTCAAAAGACATTTTATAGATGTAAATGCCCCAAAGCTGAGCCAGGTGCCTAACTGTAGGGAAAAGAAAGAGAAGTCAGACTGCTACTGTGTCTATGTAGAAAGGGAAGACATAAGAAATTCCATTTTGACCTGTACCTTGAACAATTGCTTTGCCCTGAGATGCTCTTAATCTGTAACTTTGCCCCAACCTCTTTGCTCCAACCTTGACCTCACAAAAACATGTGTTGTATGGAATCAAGGTTTAAGGGGTCTAGGGCTGTGCAGGACATGTCTTGTTAACAAAATGTTTACAAGCAGTATGCTTGGTAAAAGTCATCACCATTCTCTAGTCTCAATAAACAAGGGGCGCAATGCACCATGAAAAGCCACAGGGACCTCTGCCCTGGAAAGCCGGGTATTGTCCAAGGTTTCTCCCCATGTGATAGTCTGAAATACAGCCTCGTGGGAAGAGAAAGACCTTACCGTCCCCCAGCCCGACACCCGTCTGTGCTGAGGTGGATTAGTAAAAGAGGAAAGCCTCTTGCAGTTGAGATAGATGAAGGCCACTGTGTCCTGCCTGCCCCTGGGAACTGAATGTCTCCGTACAAAACCTGATTGTACATTTGTTCAATTCTGAGATAGGAGAAAAACTGCCCTATGGCAGGAGGCAAGACATGTTGGCAGCAATGCTGCCCTGTTATTCTTTATTCCACTGAAATGTTTGGGCAGAGAGAAACATAAATGTGGCCTACGTGCACATCCAGGCATAGTACCTCCACTTGAACTTATGACATAAATTCTTTTGCTCACATGTTTCTTTGCTGACCTCCTTATCACCCTGCTCTCCTACCGCATTCCTCTTGCTGAGATAATGAAAACAATAATCAATAAAAACTGAGGGAACTCAGAGACCGGTGCTGGTGCAAGTCCTTGGTATGCTGAGTGCCGGTCCCCTGGGCCCACTGTGGTTTCTCTATACTTTGTCTCTGTGTCTTATTTCTTTTCTCAGTCTCTCCTCCCACCTGACAAGATATCCCACAGGTGTGGAAGGGCAGGCCACCCCTTCACCCAACAGCTCAGAATGGCTTTTGTGGGATACGGAAGAACCCTCCCTTCTCTTCACCTCACTAGCAAAAGAGAAAGAAGGGCAAACAAAGACCCTCAGAAACCTCAGCAGCTTCCCAGGCAGACGCAGTTAAAAACGACCCGCCCCCAGCGCGCCCCGGCACAGAGCCACCCCGCCCCAGGATGTGACGTGGCATTCGCAGTCCCGCCGCCAGCCTCAGGCCGCCCGCCTCCTTCGTCCCGCCCACCCCGCCCGAGCCTGCCCTGGTCCCTCCCACCCCGCCCTGAATCCATCCCTCTTTAGCCCGACCCCGCCCTGGTCCCCACCCACCCCGCTCCGCCTCCCGCTCAGCCGGCCCGGCCTCCGGCCTCGCACCCCAACCCGCAGAAGGAGCGCCCCCTTGCGGCCCTCGGAATCCCATTGTTCCTGTCCTGGTCCCGCCAGCCCACCGTCGGCGCGCAGTGGTGAGGACGAACTCCTCGGATGCCGCCGTTGAGAAAACGCAACATCAACGCCAACCACTCCTGTACTCAAGCGAAGCCCTGCCTGCAGCGCGAGCACACTGAGGCCTACCTGCCCTACCCCAGACGGAGACTCGCGAGCCCGAACCGGACCATGAGCCGCGCCGAATCGGAGCGCTGCGCCTGCGTTGGCGTCGGGCGTCGCGGCCGCGCAACGTCCGGCACCAGAGGGCTCGCTGCACCTCGGCCGGCCTTCCATGCCACGCCCCCGGGCCAGGCCACGCCCCGGCCCGAGCGACCATCGAGACTCCAGGACCTCCGCGGCGCCTAGAGGGATCCCGAAAACGCCTGCGAGGCCAGAACGGCCGAAATAACCCACCCCAGCGGGCCAGCTCTTCCCGCCACTCTCCCTTACCCTCCCACCCCTGTCCTACTTTGGAAACCTTCCTCGCTCCTTCCTAATCAGGAGAGCATGGGGACTTTCTAGGGTAGTGGTTCTCAAATGTGCCCCCAATCTAACAGCAGCTTCACCTGGGAAATCGATGGAAATGCAAATCTTGGGACCCCACTACAGGCCTTCTGAGTAAGAAACTCTGAGGGTGTGCCCAATAATCGGCCTTACCAACCCTGAAGGTAATTGTGGTACAAACTAGGGCTTGAGAACCACTGCTGTATGGCAGGGTTTCTCAACCTCCACTCTTGACATTTTGGGCCTGGATAATTCTTTGTTGAGAGGGAAGGAGGCTGTCCTGTGCATTATAGGAGGCAGGGTCACGGATAAAATACAGTTAAATTTGAGTTTCAGGTAACAGTGTTGTTCATCTAAGATTCACATTTAACTGGAAGTCCCTGTATTTCATCTGGCTACCTTGCCTACCTATATTTTTACTTGGTAAAAATAGAACCTTAATTGTAGGATATTGAGCATCCCTAGCAACTAAATGCCAGTAGCACACCACACTCTCTCCACTCTAGTTATGACAAATAAAAGTATCTCCCCCTACTTCTTGAGAATCACGGCTCTATAAGGACTTTGTCCAGCTGAAACCCAGTAGCCCATTAGGTATATAGGACAGTGTACTCCGCAGAAAACTGCCTTGCCCTGAAAGGCTTTGAACACAGAAATCCCTGGGACCAAACCGTGTTAACATTCAAAAAGAGGGCCACTTAGTGAAGAGTTTGTATTTGCTTCTCCACACTGACACTTCACAAAGGTTTTTTGGTCACTGTAAAGTGTGTTCCAAAACCCCTGGATCAGAAGAAAAAAATCATGCTCATTTGTGAGATTCTGAAGTGAAGGGCACGTATTAGTTTGTCATTCATTCCACATATGAGCAAATTGAGAAAACAGGCAATAAGCCATGGGAAAATGGGAGTGCTACTCTAGGTAAGGTAGGGTGGTGTTTCTAACTTGCTTTGTTCCCCAGATCCTGTGTCTCATTCATTCATTCAAGTGTTAAATGAGTGTCTTCTCTGTGACAATCACTCCTCTGAGCAGTGATGTTAGAACAGTGAAAAAGAAAAGGCACAAGAGAAAAACCCTCTTGTCATTTCAGTGGGAGAACCAGACAGTAAACAAAATATATGGCATGTCAAAGTGGAAAGTGCTAGGAAGAAAATAAAGGAAGCAAAGGGGACCAATAAGACTGTTGTGAATTCAGTTTTAAATAATTTGGTCAGGGAAGGTTGGTAAGTGAGAAGGTTGTATTTGAGGGAAAAGCCAAAGAATATGAAGAGCAAATTCCCCATGCAGAATTCAAGGGGGAAAATATTTGAAGCAGAGAGAATGGCATGTGCAAATGCTCTGAGGCGAAGCAAGCCTAGCACATTTGAGAATGGCTGGAGACAAAAGAAAGTCAAAGAAATGAGGTCAAAGAGGGGGTGAGTTCAACAAGGAGTAATAAGGTGCTTGCTGGCTGTTTCTTCCATACCTTTATGATCCAGAGAGAATTCTCACTGCAATTTGGATACTTGCATATGTAATTTAAAGTTAATAAAAAGATCGGGACCAAGTGTAAGTGTTTATGGAGCTGCAAAGAGTCCATCTAGACATTTTCAGTGCATTGCTTTGAATAAAGCTACGTTTAAAAACAAAGTCAAATCTTTGAAAACAATGTCAAATTTGGGGTAGAATGGCAGAAGAACTGCATGATAGGAATTGGGAAAAAAAAAAAAATTTAGCCCGTTAAGCTAGAATCCTTTGAGGAAAATACATATTTTGAAGTTCTTTAATTGAGAAATAGGCTAAATAAGCTTTAAGGAAAAAATTGGGGAAAATATTTAAATTATGTGTATTATGAGTAAATTTCATAAAAGCCTTGCAGCCTAGTTTGTTTATAGATACTATCTTGCTTTAGGGAGTTAACAAATAAAAAAAAAACATAAAAAGAAGAAAATGGACTTAGGGAATTAAACTTATATATTTATTAATTTATTTCATTTAGTTTATTTCACCTGTACATGTCTTTGTGTGTATGTATGGGGTGAGACTTTACATATAAAAATTCTCATGTCGCATTGACTAAATAACACCTTATGGTTGATGATGTTAGTACATAGCAGCAATTAAAGCTCAGCTACAAGTTGCTGACTACATTAAAGTTTTTGACAGCCATAGCAGTATCACAGCCTACCCAACAATTAAGAATGTCACATACATGAAACCACAGTTGTATGGAATTATGAGAAAATACTCATTAGTCCATCAGGATATTTTAGTTAAGGAAATTACTAGAGATATCAGGTGAGCTGGACCTGAAGAAAGAACCAGATGCCAAATAATTTCAGGCTAGAACTCCCAAGCGCCCATGATTAATGGGTCCAGGATAAGAAGAGATTGCTGGTTTCTTGAAGCTTGCTTGTTAATAAATGATATGGAGGTGGCATGCATTCCGATGACAATTGAATTGATTTGACGCACTATGTATGATTAAGGATTTGATGTCCTGCATAAAGTTAAGAATCAGGCTGGGCAGTGGTGGCTCACACCTGTAATCCCAGCACTTTGGAAGCCTGAGGTGGGAGAATCGCCTGAGGCCAAGAGTTCAAGACCAGCCTGGGCAACATAGTAAGACTATGCTACATTAAAGTTAGCCAGGTGTGATGGTACACACCTGTAGCCCCAGATACTCAGGAAGCTAAGACAGGAGGACTGCTTGAGCCCAGGAGTTTGAGACCTCAATGAGCTATGATCATGCCACTGCACTCCAACCTAGGTGACAGAATGAGACCCTGTCTCTAAAAGAAAACAAAAAATAAAAATAAATTTAAAGTTAAGAATTAGTTGATAGGGAGTCAGGAGCAATGGTTCATGTCTGAAATCCCAGAAATTTGGAAGGCCAAAGCAGGAGGATCATTTGAGCACAGAAGTTTGAGACCAGCCTGGGCAATATAGGAAGATCCCATCTCTACAAAAAAACTTGTTTTTTCTTCAGCTTTTATTTTAAGTTCAGGGGTACGTGTGCAGGGTGTGCAGGTTTGTTATATAGGTAAATGTGCCATGCTGATTTTGCTGCACAGATCAACCCATCACCTAGGTATTAAGCTTAACAAGCATTAGCTACTTTTCCTGATGCTCTCCCTCCCCATAGGTCCCTGACAGGCCCCACTGTGTTGTTCCCCGCCACCCCACCCCCACTGCCCCATCTGTGTGTTCTCATAGTTCATCTCCCACTTATAAGTGAGAACATGTGGTGTTGGGTTTTCTGTTCCTACATTAGTTTGCTGAGGATAATGGTTCCCAGCTCCATCCATCTCCCTGCAAAAAGATATGATCTCAATCCTTTTTATTGCTACATAGTATTCCATGTTGTATATGTACCACATTTTCTTTATCCAGTCTATCACTGATGGGCATTTGGGTTGATTACATGTCTTAGCTGTTGTGAGTAGTGCTGCAATGAACATATGCATGCATGGTATCTTTATCATAGAATGATTTATATTCCTGTGGGTATATGCCCAGTAATAGGATTGCTGAGTCAAATGGTATTTCTGATTTTAGATCTTTGAGGAATCACCACACTGTCTTTCACAATGGTTGAACTGATTTACATTTGAACCAACAGTGTAAAAGCATTCTGATTTCTCTGCAACCTTGCCAGTAACTATTGTTTCTTGACTTTTTAATAACTGACATTCTGACTGGCATGAGATGGTATCTCATTATAGGTTTTTTTTTTTTTTTGAGATGGAGTCTTGCTCTGTTGTCCAGGCTGGAGTGCAGTGGTACGATCTCAGCTCACTGCAACCTTCGCCTCCTGGGTTCAAGCAATTCTCCTGCCTCAGCCTCCCAAGTAGCTAGGACTACAGGTGTGTGCCACCATGCCTGGCTATTTTTTGTAATGTTAGTAGAGATGGGGTTTCACCATGTTGGCCAGGCTGGTCATGAACTCCTAGTCTCAAGTGATCCGCTTGCCTTGGCCTCTGAAAATGCTGGGACCACAGGCATGAACCATTTCGTCCAGCCTTCATTATAGTTTTGATTTGCATTTCTCTAATGATCAATGATGTTTTTAATGGGGCTGTTTGTTTTTGTTCTTGTAAATTTGTTTTTATTCCTTGTAGACTCTGGATATCAGACCTTTGTCAAATGAATAGATTGCAAAATTTTTCTCCCATTCTGGAGGTTGTCTGTTCACTCTGATGATGGTTTGTGGTTTTTTTGCTTTGTTTTGTTTTTGCTGTGCAGAAGCTTTTTAGTTTAATTAGATCCCATTTGTCAGTTTTCACTTCTGTTGCAATGGCTTTTGGCGTTTTTGTGATAAAGGTTTTGCCCGTGTCTATGTCCTGAATGGTATTGCCTAGATTTTCTTCTGGGTTTTTATAGTTTTGGATTTTACATTTAAGCCTTTAATCCATCTTGAGTTATTTTTTGTATAAAGTGTAAGGATGGGGTCCAGTTTCAGTTTTCTGCATATGGCTAGCCAGTTTTCCCAGTACCATTTGTTAAATAGAGAATTATTTCTTCATTGCTTGTTTTTGTCAGGTTTATCAAAGATCAGATAGTTGTAGGTGTGCAGTCTTATTTCTGAGTTCTCTAGTCTGTTCCATTGATCTATGTGTCATTTTTGTACCAGTACCATGCTGTCTTGGTTACCATAGCCTTCTTATATAGTTTGAAGTCGGGTACCCTGATGCCTCCAGCTTTGCTCTTGTTGCTTTGGATTGTCTTGGCTATTAGGACTTTTTTTTGGTTCCATATGAAATTTAAAATATATTTTTTTATTTCTGTGAAAAATGTCCATAGCAATTTAATAGGAATAGCATTGAATCTATAAATTAGTTTGGGCAATATGGCCATTTTCACAATATTGATTCTTCCTATCCCTGAGCATGGAATGTTTTCCCATTTGTTTGTGTCCTCTCTGATTTCCTTGAGCAGTGGTTTGTAGCTCTCCTTGAAGAGGTCCTTCACTTCCCCTGTTAGCTTTATTCCTAGGTATTTTATTTTGTTTGTGGGCATTGCGAATGGGAGTTCATTCATGGTTTGGCTCTCTGCTTGTCTGTTCTTGGTACATAGGAATGCTTGTGATTTTCATACACTGACTTTGTATCCTGAGACTTTGCTAAAGTTCCTTATGAGCTTAACAAGCTTTTGGGCTGACCCAATGGGGTTTTCTAGATATATGATCATGTCACCTGCAAACAAAGATAATTTAACTTCCTCTCTTCTACTTGAATAACCTTTCTTTCTTTCTCTTGTCTGACTGCCCTGGCCAAAACTTCCAATACCATGTTGAATAGGAATAGTGAGAGAGGACATCCTTGTCTTGTGCCAGTTTTTAAAAAGATTCCTTCCACCTTTTGACCATTAAGTATGCTATTGACTGTGGGTTTGTCATCTATGGCTCTTATTATTTTGAGGTATTTTCTTCAATACTTAGTTTATTGAGAGTTTTTAACATGAAGGATGTTGGATTTTATCAAAGATCTTTTATGCTTCTATTGCGACAACCATGTGGTTTTTGTCTTTAGTTCTGTTTATGTGATGAATTACATACATTGATTTGTATATGTTGAACCAACCTTGCATCCTGGGGATGAAGACAACTTGATCATGGTGGATAAGCTTTTTGATGTGATGCTGGATTCAGCTTGCCAGTATTTTATTGAGTATTTTTTGGATTGATGTTCATCAGGGATACTGGCCTGATTTCTGTTTTTTTGTTGTTGTTGTATTTCTGCCAGGTCTTGGTATCAGGATGATGCTTTCCTCATAAAATGAATTAGGGAGGAGTCCCTCCTTTTCAATTGTTTGAAATAGTGTCAGAAGAAATGTTACCAGCTCCTCTTTACACCTCTGGTAGAATTAAGCTATAATCCTTCTGATCCTGGGCTTTTTTTTTTTTTTTTTTTGGTAGGCTATTTATTACTGCCTCAATTTCAGAACTCATTATTGGTCTATTCAGGGACTCAACTTCTTCCTGGTTCAGTCTTGGGAGGGTGTATATATCCAGCAATTTATCCATTTCTTCTAGATTTTGTAGTTTATTTGCATAGAGGTGTTTGTAGTATTTTCTGATGGTTGTTCATATTTCCATTGGCGTCAGTGGTGATATCCCCTTTATTGTTTCTAATTATATCTATTTGATTCTTCTCCTTCTTTTCTGTATTAGTGTAGCTAGTAGTCTATCTATTTTACTTTTTTTTTTTTTTCCCAAAAAAAACAGCTCCTGAATTTGCTGATTTTTTTAAGGGTTTTTGATGTCTCTATCACCTTTATTTCTACTCTGATCTTGGTTATTTCTTGTCTTCTGCTAGCTTTGGGGATAGTTTTTTATTTGTGATGTTAGGGTATTGACTTGAGCTCTTTCTGGCTTTTTGATGTGGGCATTTAGTACTATAAATTTTCCTCTTAACACTGCTTTCGCTGCATTCCAGAGATTCTGGTGTGTTGTCTCTTTGTTCTCATTGGCTTCAAAGAACTTCTTGATTTCTGCCTTATTATTTACCCAGGAGTCATTCAGGATCAGGTTTTTCAATTTCTACGTAGTGGTGTGGTTTTGAGTGAGTTTCTTAATCTTGAATTCTAATTTGATTGCACTGTGTTCTGAGAAACTGTTATGATTTCAGTTTTTTGCATTTGCTGAGGAGTGTTTTACTTCAGATTACATGTTCAACTATAGTAAGTTCTTTGTGGTGATGAGAAGAATGTATATTCTGTTGAATTTGGGTGGAGAGTTTTGTAGATATCTATAAGATCCACTTGATTCAGATCTGAGTTCAGGTCCTGAATATTTTTGTTAATTTTCTGTCTCTATAATCTGTCTAATATTGTCAGTGGGGTATTAAAGTCTCCCACTGTTATTGTAGGGGAGTCTAAGTTTCTCTGTAACTCTCTAAGAACTTGTTTTAAGAATGTGGGTGCCCCAGTATTGGGTGCATATATATTTAGGATAGTTAACTCCTCTTGTTTAATTGAACCCTTTACCATTATGTAATGCCCTTCTTTGTGTTTTTAATCTCTGTTGGTTTAAAGTCTGTTTTGTCAGAAACTACAAAAAAACCCTGCTTTTTTCTGTTTTCCATTTGCTTGGTAAATTTTCATCCATCCCTTTATTTTGAGCCTATTTGTGTCTCTGCATGTGAGATGGGTCTGTTGAATATAGCATACTGATGGGTCTTGACTCTATCCAGTTTGCCATTTTTTGTCCTTTAATTGGAGCATTTAGCCCATTTACATTTAAGGTTAATGTTTTTCTTTGTGAATTTGTTCCCGTCATCATGATGCTAGCTGGTTATTTTGTAGATTTGTTTATGTAGTTGCTTCATAGTGTTGTTGGTCTGTGTACTTCAGTGTGTTTTTGTAGTGGCTGGTAACGGTTTTTCCTTTCCATATTTAGTGCTTCCTTCAGGAGCTCCTGCCAGGCAGGCCTGGTGGTGATGAATTCCCTCAGCATTTGCTCATCTGAAAAGGGTCTTATTTCTTTTTTGCTTATAAAGCTTAGTGTGGCTGGATATGAAATTCTGGGTTTGAAATTCTTTTCTTTAAAAATGTTGAGCCAGGTGCGGTGGCTCACGCCTGTAATCCCAGCACTTTGGGAGGCCGAGGTGGGCGGATCATGAGGTCAGGAGAGCAAAGGTGGCAGCCTGCTCCTTCCCAGAGGAACATTGACCTGATTCAAGCCCAAATGCTGCTGGAGGTGTCTGGAGACCCCTGTTGGGAGGTCTCATTCAGTCAGGAGGGATAGGATTGGGGGGACCTGCTTGAAGAAGTAGTCTGGCTGCCCCTTGGTGGAGTTGGTACACTGTTGGGGAGAACCCCTGTCATCTGGACTGCCCAGACTCTCCAAAGCCAGCAGGCGGGAAAGGCTGTCGGCTGAACTGCAGAGACCATGGCTGCCCCTCCCCCAAGGGGCTGCATCCCAGGGAGATCAGAGTTCTGTCCATTAAACCCTGGCTGGAGTTGCTGAAATTCCCACAGGGAGGCCCCACCCAGTGAGGAGGAATGGGTCGGGGTCCCATGTAAAGAAGCAATCTGGCCACAACCTGCCGTAGCTGCTGAGCTCCACTGTGGGGAATCCCTCCCGGTCCAAACCACCCAGTCTCCCCAGCATTAGGAGGGCAAAATAGCCAACTGGAGCTGCAGAGATGGCAGCTGCCCCTTTCCCCAGGAACTCGGTCATCTCAGGCAGTCTCCAGTCGCTGCCACTGGCCCATGGGGATTTCTAAGCCAGTGGGTCTTAGCTGGTAAGGTTTTGTGGGAGTGGAGCCCACTGAAAGATGCCCCTTGGGTTCCTGGCTTCAGCCCCCTTCCTACAGGAACAGACAGATCTCCTGCCTCACAGGAATTTTCAAGCTTCAGCATGCAAAAACTCCTGCATCTCTGTGCCTTCCCGAGCAGCTGCTGACTGGAGTGGCCACCAGGTCTGCACAGCTCTGTGCCTGGGACCCAAGGCCCTGGTGGCATAGGCTCAAGAAGGAATCTCCTTGTTTGAAATGCTTGCTCCCCAGTGCCGTAAAGAAATAGCACTTGAACATACATTTAATTTACTCAGCAAGGCCATTTTTACTTACTGCAGAAAAGGTATGCTTGCCAGCAGTTTTGCCATGAGAGTACACCAAACAAAGAAGACAGGGTCATTTATAACCTGACGCATCCACCCTACTGCTGTGTCTGGTTTCCATCGGCTGGCACGGGACCTCACATCCTGTATTTGTTCCGATCGGCTAGCAACTTAGAACTTTCTTAAAGAGGCAAAGGTAGAGGGGAACAAAGGAAGGAGGAAGTAACTGGTGGAATGCTGAGAAAGGTAAAAAGCACCTTCACATAAGGAAGAGGAACAGGCTATCACCTAATGCTTGCTTGGACCAGCATAAGCATGCTAGGGCAAATATTTAGGCTAAATTGTGACATAAAGTACTTTGATTTCTTTACCACGGCTAGCAGATATTTAAGAATGTTAGCACAGGTCTTTGAATAAATTTTGCTTCTAAGAGAAGTTACTATTTATTCCTAATTAAATGGGGAGGAAAATCTTTGAAGAGGAACCTCTACTTTACTTTTTACATCCTGATCTATGGGTTGCAAAGATCCATGGGAAAAGTGTGATTTCCTGGGTGGGGTAGTGCAATCCCTCACGGCCTCCCTGGCCTGGGAGCGGGCGATCCCCTTGCTCCATGCAGCTCCCAGGTGGGCTGTCGCCCCACCTTGCTTTTCCTTGCTCTCCATGGGTCACTGCCTAGCCAGCATCCAATATCAACTGGATATCTCAGTTGAAGGTATAGAATGCACTTACCATTTTCATTCTTCTTGGTGAGCGCTGAAGACTGCAGCTGCTTCTAATCAGTAATTTTGTCCCTTCCCTCTAAAAGTTTTTTGTAGGAGGGAGGGGCCAAGATGGCCAATTAGAAGCAGCTGGAGCTATAGGTGTGCTGCTACTCAGGAGGCTGAGGCAGGAAGATTGCTTGAGCCCAGGAGCTTGAGGCTGCCGTGAGCTGTGATCGTGCCACTGCACTCCAACCTAGGTGACAGAGCAAGACCCCATCTCTAAAAGAAAAAGAATATCCATAAGGAATGATAAACGTATGCATGATTGTGAGAGTTAGAGTTTTCCAGATAAAGAGAACCAAGAGAATATATATATATATGTATATATGAAAAGATTTATGAGAAATTGGCTTATGGATTATGGAGACTAAGAGGTTTCAAAATCTGCTGTCTGCAAGCTGAAGACCCAGGAAAGCCAGTGTTGTAATTCCAATTTGAGTCAACGGCCTGAGAACCAGGGAGCCTATTTAAAACTGCATAAAACTGCAAGCCGTACATTTGCAGCAACTTGGATGGAGTTGAAGACCATTATTCTAAGTGAAGTAACTCAGGAATGGAAAATCAAATATTGTATGCTCTCACTTATAAGGGAGCTAAGCTATGAGGATGCAAAGGCATAAGAATGATATAATAGACTTCTGGGACTCGGGGCGGGGGAAGGGTCGGAGGGGCGTGATGGATAAAAGACTATACAGTGGGCCGGGTGCAGTAGCTCATGCCTGTAATCCCAGCACTTTGGGAGGCCGAGGTGAGCGGATCACAAGGTCAAGCGATCAAGACCATCCTGGCCAACATGGTGAAACCCTGTCTCTACTAAAAATACAAAAATTAGCTGGGCGTGGTGGCACGTGCCTGTAGTCCCAGCTGCTTGGGAGGCTGAGGCAAGAGAATCGCTTGAACCTGGGAGGCGGAAGTTGCAGTGAGCCAAGATCACGCCACTGCACTCCAGCCTGGTGACAGAGCAAGGTTCTGTCTAAAAACAAAACAAAACAAAAAAATCTATACATTGGGTACAGTGTACACTGCTCAGGTACCAAAATCTTAGTGCACCAAAATCTCAGAAATCCCACTAAAGAACTTATCCACGTAACCAAGAACCACCTGTTTCCTCCAAAATAATGAAGAAAAAAAAATACCCTGCAAGCCTTAAATATCATTAAGATATTTAATTCCTTAAATGTCTAACAGCACCAGACACGAGGATGATTATTGGATTGGGGAACAGAACAGGAGCCAATTCTTAAAGGTAGTCTTGCTTCCTTGAGCAGCAGAACCCTTGCTACTCAGACCTTCTTCCTCCTCTTTGTCCTTCCTCCTCTTTGTGTGCCAGGTTGGGCTGGCAGTATAGCCACAAATATGGGGGCTACTCACCACCAAAGAGGAGGCCTAGCACTCTGTGGGCAGGACTGGTCCCTGTGAAATCAGAGGAAAACCAGACTGTGGCCACAGTCACACTCCTCTGGCTTCTTTCTCTTTGTTAAGTTCCCAAACATTGGCCTGTTGTTGGTTGACCCAAAGACCACTCTCAGGTTCAATGACTGGCTGGAAGGACTTACAGAACTCAGAAAAGTTGTTATAGGCTGGGTGTGATGGCTCAAGCCTATAATTCCAACACTTTGGGAGGCTGAGTTGGGAGGATAGCTTGAGACTAGAAGTTAGAGACCAGCCTGGACAACATAGCAAGATCCCATCTCTAAAAAAATTAACAACAACAACAAAATAGCCAGATGCAGGCCATACACACCTGGAGTCCCAACTACTCAGGAGGCTGAGGCAGGAGGATCACATGAGCACAGGAGTTTGAGGTTGCAGTGAGCTATGATTGTGTCATTGCACTCCAGCCAGTGACAATCAGAGCGAGACCTCATCTAAGAAAGAAGAAAGAAAGAGAGAGAGAGAAAAGGAAGGAAGGAGAAGAGGAAGGGGAAGGGGAAGGAAGGAAAGGAAAGCAAGCAAGCAAGCAAGCAAGCAAGAAAGAAAGGAGGGAGGGAGGGAGGGAGGGAAGAAAGGGAAAAAGAAGAAAAAAGAAAATGTGTATATTCATTACAGTGAGTTTTGACTTATTAAAGTGAAAGAATACAGGTTAAAATCAGCAAAGGTACCCATGCATACATTGTCAGCTGATGTTTAACAAGAGTGCCATGAATACACAATAGGAAAATGATAGTCTCTTCAATAAATAGGGAAAATTGTATATCCACATCCAAAAGCATGTAATCGGAGTCTTGTCTTACACCATACACAAAAATTAACTCAAAATGGATTAACCACTAAAACGTAAGTTATATAACCCTAAAAATCCTAGAAGAAAACATAGAAGTAAAGCTCCTTGACTTTTCTAGGTCCAGGCAATGATTTCATATATCTGACAGCAAAAAGACAGGCAAAAAAAACCACAAAAAAAACCCAAAAATAGACAAGTGGGACTATATCAAACTAAAAAGTTTCAGCATTACAAAGGAAACAACCCATAAAATAAAAAGACAACCCAAAGAATGAGAGAAAATATTTTCAAAGAACATATCTGATGATGGGTTAATTTCCAACATAAGGAACTCCTATAAATAGCAAAAACAAAAATAACCTGATATAAAAATGAGCAAAGGACCTGAGTACACACATTTCTCCAAAGACCTACAAATGGCCAGGGCCAGCAGACATATAAAAAGATGCTCAACATCACTAATCATCAGAGAAACAGGAATCAAAACCACAGTGAAATATCATCTCATACCTGTTAGAATGTCTTTAATCAATCAATCAATTAACAAAAAAGAAAAGAATGTTGTCAAAGATGTAATGAAAAGGGAAACCTTATACATTGTTGGTGGAGATGTGAATTAATACAGCTATTATGGAAAATAGAATGGAGTTTCCTGAAAAAAAGACTTAAACTAGAACTGTCAAATAATCCAGCAATAACACTTGTGGGTATGTAGCCAAAAGAATAAACATTAGAATCTTGAAGAGGTATTTGCACTCCCATTGATAGTAGCATTATCCACAATAGCCAAGATATGGAAACAACCCAAATAAATGTCCATTGAGAGATGAGTGGATAAAGAAAATGCACATGTGTATACACAAACATACAGACAACAGAATATTATTCAGCCTTTTAAAAAGAAGGAAATCCTACTATTTGCAGTCATTTAGATGGACTTGAAAGACATGATACTAAATGAAATAAGTCAGTTACAGTACGACAGATACTGCCTGATTCCTCTTATATGAGGTATTTAAAATAGTCAAACATATAAAAAGTAGGCAATAGAATCCTGGTTACCAGGAGATGGGGGAGAGGGATATGGGGAGTTGTTATTCAATGGATATAAAGTTACAGTTACATAACATAAGTTCTGAAGAACTGCTGTACAACATAGTGCGTAAGTTAACAATAAGGTTTTGTGCACTTAAAAATGTTAGAGGATTTTTCTCATGTTGAATGTTCTTATCGAAAACAACAACAAAGGGATAAAAGGAAACTTCTGAAATTGATGGATGTGTTCATTGCCTTTACTGAGGTGATGGTAACATGAGTATGCACCTATGTCCAAATTGTATACATTAATTATGTGCCATTTTCTGGATACCAATTATACCTCAATAAATCTGGGAAAAATAAATGACCAAAGGTAAAACATATAGAGTATCCAGAAAAGACCACAACAGACTTCCAGTTGTCTTTTCCCTGTGCAGTTGTATAGACAGTGCTTAGTTTTCCAAGCAACAACGTATGACAATGCATATAGACAATTGTCAACCAGGGAAGGACACTCAAGCCTGGGTGTCCAGAGTTTCTCTCAGAGGTGAGTCAAATAGATATGATTGACTACCTGAGTGGTTAGCCTGAGTCTCCAACCCATCCAAAGGTCAAGCTGGTACTGCATGAGTCAAGGCCCACACCATAAATCATATTGTTCACATAGACTGTCTGGGGTAGCCCAAGCTGCAAGTAAATAAAAACACTTTTATCAGGCAGGATATTCCAAGGGCTTAGAGGTAGCTTCTTAATAGCCAGGTGTGAAAGAAAAGAAAATTTCAGGACCCTCTAAATATATTATGCCAAAGGAGAAGTTAAGTCCCAGAGATTGAATCACATAGAATGTTTACAGTTGTGCTTCTTAGATTACAGCTTAACTCTCTTCATTTTTATTCTTGTTCTATAAATGACTAGGAGACCAGAAACCAGACCTTCACGCCTCCATCCAATCACTGATTTTTTTTTTTTAGATTAACTGCCTCCTTTATTGTCCTGTAACTAACTCAGACCAGATGACACCCAAGTCCCTCTATGACCGTTACATCGTCAGGGTAGAATGCTAAATATGCCTTTCAAAGAAAGAAATAAAGTAAAAGGAAGAAAGGAAAGAAGGAAGGAAGGGAAGGAAGGAAGGAAGGAAGGAAGGGAGGGAGGGAGGGAGGGAGGGAGGGAGGGAAGGAAGGAACAAGACTACCTTGACCTACTCAGATTGTTGTAACTATGCATTAACCCTTATATAGAAAGATGTTGAAAGTCTGTTAAACTTCCCCATGCTTTGTCTATATAAGCAATCTCAAATCTACAGTTTGGAGCACTGACTTCCATTCTTTGGAATCTGTGCTTCCCAGGCAGGCCTGTCCTCAACTTTGTGCTTGAATAAACTCTCTTTAAACTAGATTCTGATCCTTTTGGTTATTTGGGGTTGACACAGGCGACGCCTTTTTTTCTGCTGAATCAACCCTTTACTGCAAAGACTTCATAAAGAGCTTAGTTTTCATTGTGTTAGTCATTACCTAGAAAGTATAAATTAGCTATAAAGACTTTATTTACAAGAGATTGGACTTTTCTTCAAAAACACTTTTTTTTCTTTTTTAAAAAGACAGGCTGTCATTCTGTTGCCCAGGCTGGAATGCAGTGGCTCAATCTTGGCTCACTGCAGCCTCAACCTTCAGGGCTCAAGCCATCTTCCCGCTTCAGCTTCCCTAGTACCTAGGAATACAGGCATCTGTGCCTGGCTGATTTTTAAATTTTTAGTAGAGATGAGGTCTTGCCATGTTACCCAGGCTGGTCTTGAACTCCTGGGCTCACGCAATTCACCTGCCTCAGCCTCCCAAAGGGCTGGGATGACAGGTGTGCACCACTGTGCCTGGCCCAAAAATATTTCTTAAAAGTACTTTAGACATTCTCTTGTGGCTCTTCATCAAAGTATATATCTCTTATTAAGCAAAAGAGATGACAAATCATTGAATCAAGCATTCTCAAAATTTATATCATGAAACCCAAAAAGTATAACCCATATGCCCCACTCACAATCACAAATTTTCTCAAAAATATCTACAGCACAGCCAGTCTACACTGTCCTCACCCACCGAGTTCCCTCTGTTGTCTGGCCTCAAATTGGATTTGTAGAGAAGAGGCTAATACTGTTATCTCAGTCTAGTTGGCTACAGGCAGGGCTGCCCCACCTTGAGAGAACCATTAATGTAGTGGGCAGTGTCCAGCACTCTAAAAAATAAAATGAAAGACAAAACAAAATGTTGGAGCAACACATCTGACAGAGACACATTTTGTTTGCATAACTTTTTTTCAGTTATGTAACCATGAGTGTATGTCTATGTTACCATGCATGCGTCAGTGCGTGAGTGATTTGTGAGTGGTATGTGCATGCCTGCGTGTATATTGTGGGTGTGTGGTGGGTGGTGAATGTGTGTGTCTGTGATGTGTGATGTCTGTGGTGTGTAGAGAGGTGTGGCTGTGTCGGGGGTGGGGAGGTGTGGTGTGTGGTGCATGTGTGTATCTGTGATGCATAGCATCTGCAGTGTGATGGGGGGCTGTGGATGTGTGGGGAGGTGTGTGGTGTGTGTGGGTGTGTGTGGTGTATGTTGTGTGTGTGGTGTGTGGTGCGTGTGTGCATCTGTGATGTGTGGTGTGCGGGGTGTGTAATGTATAATGTGTAGTGTGGGTGGTCTGTAGCGTAGCTGGGTGTGGGTGTGTGTGGGGGTCGGTGTTGGTGTGTATGGTGCATGTGTGTATCTGTGAGGTGTGGTATGTGTGGTGTGTGTATAATGTGTATGATGTGGTATGTGTGTGGTGCATGTAGTGTGTGGGGTGAGTGATTGTAAGTGGGCTGAGTCCTTTCATGACATGGATTACTTCTGTAGCCCTTAGACTGGTAAGAGACCACATGGTTTGTGTAGAATAGTCAGGAGCCAGGCAGCCTAAACTTGCATCTTGACACTGGCTCATAGGAACTTTGTGACCTTGGGCAAGATTCCTAATCCCATTGCATCTGTTTCTTCGCATAAAAACGGTGAACACAATAATAGTACCTGTAAGAATTAAAGAAAGAGGAGAGAAAGATGAAGGGTGGCTCGACAGAAGACAGGTTTATTTCAGAAAACAAACCTGTGGGGACTTCTGACCTAGTTAGGGCAGAAGCTGCACTCTTGCAGAGTAAGAGTTTTTAAGGATTCAGGCCGGGTGCAGAGACTCACGCCTGTAACCCAGCACTGTGGGAGGCTGAGTCAGGCGGATCACTTGAGGTCGGGAGTTTGAGACCAGCATGACCAACATGGAGAAACCCCGTCTCTACTAAAAATACAAAATTAGCTGGGCGTGGTGGCGCATGCCTGTAATCCCAGCTGCTTGGGAGGCTGAGGCAGGAGAATCACTTGAACCCGGGAGGTGGAGGTTGTGGTGAGCTGAGATCACACCATTGCACTCCAGCCTGGGCAACAAGAGCGAAACTCCGTCTCAAAAAAAAAAAAAAAAGAAAAGAAAAAGAAAAGGATTCAGGGTGGGAGAGTTTATCAGAGGCTTGGACTGCTTCTGTGACTCTTTGTTTTGCCTATCTGGGAGGGAGAGTTGTGTCTGTTCCCATACATTTTTCTGCAGCTGCAAGCATATCCCCCGAGTCTGCCTTTAGCTTCCCTGTCTTAGAGCACCTGAAGGGAAAGGAATGTGCTTATTAAGGCCCACTGTTTTACTGGGGCTCCAGTGTATGAGGGTGAAGTTTGGCAGTTACCTAAGAGACTTCCTCCCCTCCTTTCCCTGTCCCCGAGCTGCCTTATCTGTGTTTTACTGTCTGCTCTTTTCTGGCTGCTTGTAGTTAGAAGATAAGTGATTTCCTTGAAATGCATGAAGCTAGAAAGGGAGCTTGCAGTGTTTGTTTGAGATGACGGTGCTCCTGCTCTCTCAGTACCTATCTCATAATTTGTCGTAAGAATTAAATGAAAACAATATTAAACGGAAAACATTTAGTACAGTGTCCGGCTCAGTAAGTGTTATTTATTTATTTATTTATTTTCTTTTTGAGACGGAGAAGTCTCGCTCCGTCACCCAGGCTGGAGTGCAGTGGCATGATCTTGGCTCACTGCAATCTCTGCCTCCCAGGTTCAAGCGATTCTCCTGCCTCAGCCTCCTGAGTAGCTAGGATTACAGGCACGCACCACCACATCCAGCTAATTTTTGTATTTTTGGTAGAGATGGGGTTTCGCCATGTTGGCCAGGCTGGTCTCGAACTCCTGACCTCATGATCTGCCCACCTTGGCCTCTCAAAGTGCTGTGATTACAGGCGTGAGCCACAGTTACCGGCCCATGTATTTCATTTTTTATTTTTATCATTCTTGTTATTGTTGCTATTATAAGTCATAGTCAAAAGTAAGAAACACTTAGAATGCATCAAAGCCAGTGTTTATGGGAAAAGGACTCCCTATTCAATAAATAGTGCTGGGAAAACTGGCTAACCATATGCAGAAGAATGAAATTAGACTCCTACTTCTCAGCATATACAAAAAATAAGATGAATTAAAGATTTAAATGTAAGACCTCAAACTATAAAAAATCCTAGAAGAAAACCTAGGAAATACACTTCCGGACATTCGCCTTGGCAAATAATTTATGACTAGGTGCTCAAAAACAATTGCAACAAAAACAAAAATTGACAAGTTGGGCCTAATTAAACTAAAGAGCTTCTGCACAGAAAAAGAAACTATCAACAGAATAAACAGACAACCTACAGAATGGGAGAAAATATTCACAAATTATACATCTGACAAAGGTCTAATATCCAGAATCTATAAGGAACTGAAACAAATCAACAAGCAAAAAACAACTCCATTAAAAAATGAGCAAAGGGCATGAATAGACAATTTTCAAAAGAAGACATAGAGCCAACCAATATGTAAAAAAAGTTCAACATCACTAATCATCAGAGAAATACAAATCAAAACCACAATGAGATATCATCTCACACCAGTCAGAATGAGTATTACTAAAAAGTAACAATATAACAGATGCTGGCAAGGCTGTAGAGAAAAGGGAATACTTATGTGGGAATGTAAATTAGTTCAGCCCCTGTGGAAAGCAGTTAGGAGATTTCTCAAGGAACCTAGAACTACCATTCAACCCATGAATCCCATTACTGGGTATATATTCAAGGGTAAATATATTGTTCTACCAAAAAGACACCTGCGCTCATAAGTTTATTGCAGCACTATTCACAATAGCATGGATATAGAATCAACTAGATGACCATCCACGGTGGATTGCATTAAGAAACTGTGGTACATATATACCATGGAGTACTACACTACCATAAAAAAAGAATAGAATTATGTCCTTTGCAGCAACATGTATGCAGCTGGAGGTCATTATCCTAAGTGAATTAACACAGAAACAGAAAAGCAAATATCATGTGTTCTCACTTAGTAGTGGGGGCTAAACTCTGGGTACACATGGACATAAAGTTAGGAACAACAGACACTGGAGACTCCAAAAGGAGGCAGAGAGGGAGAGGAGCAAGGGCTGAAAAACTTCCTATTGAGTACTATGTCCACTGTTTGGGTGATGGGATCAACAGAAGCCCAAAGCTCAGCATCACACAATCTGCCCTTGTGTTAGGTTGGTGCAAAAGTGTTTGTGGTTTTTGCCATTGAACGTAATGGCAAAAATCGCAATCACTTTTGCCACAACCTAATGATAAACCTGCACAAGTACCCCCTGAATCTAAAATTAAAATTAAATTTTTTACAAAGCCATTGCCTTCCATCAAGCCAGTTTCTTGTCCAGACTGGAGCATTCTACTGGTTTGGTGTGTTTCGCTCCCATCATCTCCTAACTGAAAACTCATTTTTGCTAATTAAGAATAACATCATTACTAACAAGATGGATTGGTATTATATGCCTCCTGATATAATGCTCTGGGAAGCGTACAATATAACTTCTGTGGCACTCTTGCCAAATGCATGTCCTCTATTTAATAATGAACAAACAGCCAACAAACTCAAACTCAGGGCCATTCAACAAGACAACTGAGTAGAACTCCTAAAAAGCGTCCAGGTCAAAAAAGACAAGGAAAGACTGAGGAACCATCAGAGATGGAAAGAGATTAAGAAGATGTGTCAATCAAATGCAATTTGGGATCCTGGATTAGACATTAGTGAGAAAGCTGGGGAAATTTGAGTAAGGCCTGTATTTTAGTCAATTGCGTTGTATCAGTGATAACTTTCTGGTTTTGGAAACAATACTATGATCAGGTAAAATGTTAGCCTTAGGATAAGCTGAGTGAAGGCTATATTTTTTTATAATTTTTGTAACTTTTCTATAAGTCTAAAATATTTTCAAAATAAATAGTAAGCTTATGTGTGTATAACAAATACATATACATATGCATGCATAAAAACATACATAAATATTATATATCCTGTAATCCTGAGTACAATATATATCATAATGGGCAGCCAAACCACTGGCATGCTGCAGAGTTTTACCCCCTTGAGATTTTCTAATTAGCTTGCTCTTTGGAAACCTGTGATCCTTTCACTACAGGTTTGCTGTTGACTGCTTTATCACAGGAAGTAAATGCTTTTAAAGTTTCCTTTTGAACCCTCCAAAGAGAATCCCAAGAAACGCCAGTTAATAAGAGCTTATTATGGTGATCCCTCAACTCCTGCCAACATTCCTCATTCCCAGAAGACCAGGCTGGGGCCACACAGCTGGAGCATGCATTCACAAAGTGCTGTCTCCCCAGGCAGAGGAAGCAAATGGCAAGAGTCCAGGATGAGTCTAAGGGCAGCTGGGCAGTTTAAACTCCAAAAATGCAATTCTCCAACATGAAAATCAGATTCCCCAACCCCCACCTTTTATCCCAATGTCTAGGAAGATATTTTTCTTCTCTTTAGCTGCTTTTTGTTCAATATCTCAGTGGTATAATTTGAATTCAAACAGATCAATCTTTCAGATGGAGTACAAATGATCTCTGAAGGAGCTCTGAAAGTAATTAATCTCTTGTACTAAATCAACAGTCATCCTCACTTCTCAGCACAAGAAAGCAATTAGTCCCAGAGGTGAGAACTCATTTAGGTGATCACCCTAAGACTGATTTAGATAATGATATTTCTATGAATAATGTACACTCAAGTATCAGGCTGGTGATATTGATAACTCATACATTCCTATTTTTATTTTTTTGTCTTTATGGTAATAAAATGTAAATCTTCCTGAAAAAAACCTAGCATGTAGCAGCCACTGAGAGATCTGTCTTCATCACTTTCCTCGTTTGGACATGGGGCAAGTTGGTGCAAACCAGAGTTAACATCAACAAGGCCTTTCTTTGGTAACCATTATTTGCACAAAATATCATAAGACACGTTTCTTATTTTTTTTTTCATTCATGATTTGTATCCTTGTAACACCTTAAGACAAATTACTGAGGAGTAAACTGACAGGGTAGGAAAGTTCACTTTGTAGAAGGAAGACATTATGTTCTAATGGCAGATGTGAAAATGTGATACATAGTTCCATCTCAAGGCCTGCATGTGTTTATTTAGCAACTATTTGCATGTGTAGCAGGTTATTCAAATGCATCTCTGCTTTACTTTGAATTGCCAATTTAGATACATCAGATATTACAGATCTCTCAATGCAGAATTTAGGAAGGAAATGGCCAGGGAACTGGTCCGTGATTCCTCTCTTATGGTCAGCTTCAAATATATAAAGAACAGGATGAGTGTGGGGGTTAT
This sequence comes from Homo sapiens, assembly GCF_000001405.40. Classification (NCBI taxonomy): domain Eukaryota; kingdom Metazoa; phylum Chordata; class Mammalia; order Primates; family Hominidae; genus Homo; species Homo sapiens. The sequence continues at coordinate 248,885,678 of NC_000001.11, read as the reverse complement.
AGAACTGTTAAGATAGTCTTCATCAAGCACTGTTTCTCCTGGGGTCCCTACCCTCACTATCTTTAAGTGGGATAGAGTTGGTTGGAGGGTGCATTCATTAGTCCCATGTCTAATTCAAAGGAGGTCTAGCTTCTGAACCAAGACTGGGTTTTGAAATTAAAATAATTGTGGCTCTGTTGGGTACTATATTAATTTTCTATTCCTGATGTAACAAATGTAAACTAAAAATAAAATTTTTAGCTGAGCATGGGGTCACACACCTGTAGTCCTAGCCATGCAGGAGGCTGAGGTGAGAGGATAGCTTAAGGCTAGGAGTTCAAGACCAGTCTGGGAAACGTAGCAAAACCCCATCTCTACAAAAAAAAAAAAATTAAAAAGTAGCCAGACATCGTGGCTCATGCCTGTAGTCCTAGCTACTCAAGAAACTGAAGTGAGAGAATCACTTCAGGCCAGGAGTTCAAGGTTACAGTGAGCTATGATTATGCCACTGCACTCCACCCCAGGCAAAAGAGTGAGATCCTGCCTCTAAAAAAATGATAATAAAATAAAATCCTAAGTCCTCCAATGACAGAAGAGACCCCTTGTGGCCAAGGGGACTGCAAAAAAAGTCTGCAGTCTCACTTAAAAAACTGAGTTCTGGCCACTATGAGATGGGAAGTAGGATACACCTCATTTTACCCTCTTCCTTTTAAATTTAAGGCACAAAAACTGACCAGGATTCATCTGAAAATAGAGATCATAAGACTGACAAAACAGACTCATTGTGGTAATGAGATATCAAATTATAAACAAGACCTAAGACCATGCCAGGCATGACTTAAGGCACACCTGCAGGTCATTAATCTTGCTACATAGCATTATTATCCTAACTTAAAACATTTCTTTCTGCTGACTCCAAGTTTTAGACAGAGCTTTACTCATTCAACTGAAATTAAAGAATCTCTGAATCTATCTATAACCTATAAGCCCCTGCTTCAAGATAGCCCACCTTTTCAGGCCAAACCAATGTATACCTTCCATGTATTGATTTGTCTTTGCCTGTAACTCTTGCTCCCTAAAATGTGTTTTTAAAAAACTATAATGAGGTGGGCGGATCACCAGGTCAGGAGTTCAAGACCATCCTGGCTGATAGGGTGAAACCCCGTCTCTACTAAAAATACAAAAATTAGCTGGGCATGGTGGTGTGTGCCTGTAATCCCAGCTACTCAGAAGGCTGAGGCAGGAGAACTGCTTGAACCAGGACCCAGGAGGCGAAGGTTGCAATGAGCCGAGATCGCGCCACTGCACTCCAGCCTGGGCTACAGAGCGAGACTCTGTCTCAAAAAAAAAAACACAAACAAAAACGAAAAACTGTAATCTGATCACCTCAAAGGCACTTTCCCAAGACTCCTTGAGACTGGTTTCGTTGGGCTGAAATCACTTATATTGGCTTAGAATAAACCACTTTAAAATATTTTACAGAGTTTGGTTTTTTTCATTAACACAGCTTAACTCAAATTTTGTGTCTTACTAGCCATATGCAGAAGAATGAAGCTGGACTCTACCTTTTACAAAATTAGGACTCTACCTAATTACAAAAATTAATTCCAGATGGATTAAATATTTAAATATAAGACCTCCAACTATAAAAATCCTAGAAGAAAACCTGGGAAATACTCTTCTGGATATCAGCCTTAGCAAATAATTTATGACTAAGTGCTCAAAAGCAATTGCAACTAAAAGAAAAATTGGCAGGTGGGACCTAATTAAACTAACGAGCTTCTGCACAGTAGAAGAAACTAGGGTCGGGCACGGTGGCTCATGCCTGTAATCCCAGCACTTTGGGAGGCCGAGGCGGGCGGATCATGAGGTCAGGAGATCGAGACCATCCTGGCTAACATGGTGAAACCCAGTCTCTACTAAAAATACAAAAAAATTAGCTGGGCATCGTGGCGGGCGCCTGTAGTACCAACTACTTGGAAGGCTGAGGCAGGAGAATCACTCGAACCTGGGAGGCTGAGGTTGCAGTAAGCCGAGATCGTGCCACTGCACTCCAGCCTGGGCGACAAGGCGACAGGAGCAAGACTCTGTCTCAAAAAAAAAAAAAAAAAAAAAGAAAAAAAAAAGAAACTATCAGCAGAGTGAACAGACAGGCTGGGAGAAAATTTTCACAAACTATACATCTGAAAAAGGCCTAATATCCAGAATCTATAAAGAACTGAAACTGAAACAAATCATCAAGCAAAAAACAAATAACTCCATTTAAAAATGGGCAAAGGACCGGGTGCAGTGGCTCACACCTGTAATCCCAGCACTTTGGGAGGCCGAGGCGGCGGATCACCTGAGGTTGGGAGTTTGAGACCAGCCTGACCAACATGGAGAAACCTCATCTCTACTAAAAATACAAAATTAGCCAGGCGTAGTGGCACATGCCTGTAATCCCAGCTACTCGAGAGGCTGAGGCAGGAGAATCACTTGAACCTGGGAGGCGGAGGTTGTGGTGAGCCGAGATCCCGCCATTGCACTCCAGCCTGGGCAACAGGAGTGAAACTCTGTCTCAAAAAACAAACAAAAAACAAACAAACAAAGAAATTCTTTAAAAACTAGAAACCCTCCAGGTGCAGGCTATAACACTCAAACCTGGGGATAACAGACCATATGAACAATTAGCTATATACAAATTGACAAATATATACATACATACCATTTTTTTAAGGCTCTGGATCACAAGTAAGCTTTCTAAAATATAATGCACCACATTCTGACATAAACATTTGTAGGGAGACCCCCTGAAACTATTGCTACGGAATAAAAGATGAAATGCTCCTGATTATTGTAAATACAAAATTGCATGCAGGATTGTGTAAAGACAATGCCAGGTTGGACTGCCAGAACGAGCCAACAGTGCATGATGTGCTTCCCCCTGCAGAGAGCCTATGAATGGACGTGCGGTCAGGGAGGTTTCACATCACTAAGATTCCTATCCCAGGAAAACAGATGTTCATAGCTCTGGGAATGGAATGCAACCCTTGTGGAGAGCCTATAAACAGACACATGAGGGGCGCCTGTCCATATGGATAAGATAGGGCTATAAACGCCCTCATCTTGCCACGGCTCTTCTAGGCCTCTTTAGGGTTAAGGCATACTCCCTTCTGAGAATTTCTGGTCTAACCGATTGTCTAGCTTCATGTCCTGTTTCTATGGATTGTTTGTAACCAGCTTTTCCTGCAACTGTTACTGCTGATTAATATCTTGCTAATCATAGGTAATGGAAATACTGTGTTTCTGTTTTAAGGCTCTGTTAGAAATTACTGATGCACACACTATATTGTAAATTCTTATCTCTGTATACTGTACTTCTGCATACAGATGTTATGTTAAAGAATTACTTCATCCCCATGTGACCATCTAACCTCATAATCAAATGACCCTAAATCCCTCACTAACCTACCCCTGCCCTCACTAAACTTAATAATAAATGCTGGTATATCCCGTGCATTTTTGGCTCCGTGGGACCAGAAGGCGGTGACCCCCCTGGACCCAGCTTTCACTATCTTGTGTGTGTCTATTATTTCTCAACCTGCCGATCTGCCTGGGAACAAAGAGAGAGCCCCATTGCATTGCGGGCTGCTGGCCAGATCCCACAATAAACATTCATACAGAAGGACTCAGAGGTAAATAAACTTGAAGCTTTCTTGCCTCTGCTTCTATACTGCTCTATGCACTTTTTACTGCTCACCCAAATTATAAGACATTACAGGAATGAATTTTATTCCAAATCTTTTTAACTTATATTAAAGGAAACTAGAGGAACTAAAATTTTCTAACCTAGTTCAAATTAAAATGAAGTCCATAACACTGTCTACACCACAGCAGGTTACATGCACCAAACAGTACTCATTAAAGGAAGGACTTAAAGAAATAACAGCAAAGATTGTAGAACTCCTCAAGGAAGATATTATTACAATTGTCATTTCAAATAACTTTAATAGTTCAGTATGGCCTGTCTTAAAAACAAACAGGAGCTATAGATTAACTATTGACTATAGAAATTTAAATAAAGTCTCAACTAAAATGCCAAGAGCATTACCAGATGTAGAAGAGCTAGTTAATAAGATCATTAATCATAATGACAAATACTATACAATCATAGACATGTCAGATGTGTTCTTTGCCAAACCAATAAATAAAGCAAGCCAGGAATATACCAACTTTACATGGGAAGGTAAACAATACCAATTCAAAACATTACCACAGGGATATCTAAATAGTTCAGTAATAGTTCATTCCATTTTGTCATCACACATAGACCAATCAAAATATACATCTATAACAAGAAAAACTTGGGACCGTGATGTGCATCCCCCAAACTGGAAAGAAACCAAGAACCAAAGAATGACTTGGACAAGTCCAGCTTGAGAAGTAAATGAATGTATTTGGACTTACATACAGGGACTCCTGGATGGTGGTAGGATAGCTCTAGAGATCCACACCACCTCTCATTTCTAAACTGCTTAAGCTAATTTTCTGGCTCTTTGCCTACTGTGTTTAAGCAATGAGACTGTTTTTCTCGGAAGGTTCTCAGATACTCCACGGGATGTTTGGGCTCTCAGGGACCCCTGCTCCTAGGCTGGGCACCATGGCTTTGGCTCACTGCTCAGTCTCAGGGTTCAGGCAGCAGATGCATACCCTTAAGTAACCTGGTGGGAGACACATCATGCTACAAGTCACTAATAATATTATACAGAGATAACATCATAATGCTAAATAATGACTAGGGAACAAATTAAACAGGAAAAAATCCCAATTAATAACACATTTAAGATTATTGGGATAGACTATTAATATAGATAAAAACACAAGCCCAGACACCAACTGCAAATTTTTAGGAGTCCGATGGTCATCAGAAGGGAGAAAAATCTCAACCACAGTAATAGATAAAATAAAAGCCCTTAAGCTGACAAAAACAAACAGGAGGAACAAAGACTAACAGTTTTATCTGGATATTGGAGACAGCATACACCTTACTTAAACATCATCTTGGAACCAATATATCTAGAAAATCCCAAGACTTCACATATGGACAAGAACTTGAAACACTCAAAGACTACATTAGCACATTTCAATCACTGCATTACCCATCTTCAGATTCACAACTTGGGTTGAAAGTTCTGATGAGTGATGAATATAGAACATGATCATTATGGACATAGAAACTAGATTCTAAATCTTTCCTACTGGTTGGATTTCAGATAACAAAATTCCCATACTCGAACAACAAATACAGCCCATTCAAAAATACATACGGCTTACACATGAAGCCCTAACCACTAAGCATCTGACTGGCAACAACAACATTACAAAAAATGTCATATGCCTTTTCTTCACTGGATAAAATTGAGTCCTGGAAAACTGACAGGTATCCAAATTGGTCCAAAACTGCTCACATGGAATGGATACATCCAGGGTGGAGACAACAGCTTTGAGGGTCAATCAGGTCTTCTCATGGAGCAGATTCACAAGACAAAAATAGACTTGCCAGAATGTATTCTGAAGACAAGAAAAATCTGTGACAATATAGGAAAATGGGTCCTGGTCTCGTTTAATGTCTTGCCAAACACCTGGTTTATGGAAGGATCAGCTTCCATGACCCAAAGGCCAGACCCATTGAACAGCAGAAGCACTCAGACTCCAGGACCATATAATCCTGAAGGAGTCAAATGAATTGCTCTCTCCACAGCATGCAGAACTGATTGCAGTTGTTAGAGCATTTGGACACTCAGTATCAGAAAATCAAAAGAATATATATATGTGTATATATTTACAAATTCATGAGCAGTCACAACAACATAGCCCCATAATCACACAAATGGAAACAAAATAATTTTAAAATTAATGACAATGACATATGGTCCGAATCTTACTGAGAGGAACTATATAAATCATCAAACAGAATTAAGATATTTATGACACATATCAGCATACCAAAAAGATAACTTAGGCAGGGCACAGTGGCTCATGCCTGTAATCTCAACACTTTAGGAGGCTGAAGTGAGAAGATTGCTTAAGCACAGGAGTTGGAGACCAGCCTGGGCAACATAGCAAGACCCCTGTCTCTACAAAAGATAAGAAAAAAAATTAGCCATACGTAGTGGCACACGCCTGTAGTCCTAGCTACTTGGAAGGCTGAGGCAGGAGAATAGTTTGAGCCCGGAAGGTTGAGGCTGCGGTGAGCTGAGATCACGCCACTACACTCAAGGCTGAGTGACAGAGAAGGATCCTATCTCAAAAAACAAAAAATAAAAAGATCATTCAAAGGCCACCAATTTAATAGATAATTAGATGAATTAACAGGGAACATAACAATTGACACACAAAATGTACCCAAATTAAAGCTACACAGAAATCCGCACAACTCATGAAGACATTCATCGCCACCTCTACAACTCAGAAGAAAATCAGACTATGAATGGGAGATACCCCAAGTACCCCCAGTAGCCATAATAAAACAGCAAGATGAATTTAAAATTAAACAGGCGCTGTGAGCAGCTTACGCTCTACAAACATTCTTATAATTACATAAGCAGAAAGGACATTTAGGCACACACTCACTGTTCAGGTGGCTGTTAAGACAAATCAAAAGGTAACGACATCAAATTTAAAAGGCATATAGCTAATTGTGAGCAATGTAAAACTAACCTGGAGAAATATGGATACACTAAAGCATAGATACACACAAACCCAACACCTTTAACTTCTGCCTACAGATAGATTTTATAGGACCATTAAATCACTCCAACCAACAAAAATATGCCATAACAACAGTGGATACATATACAGAGACTGGCATAGCAATAGCGGCGAGCCACCCATTTGCCAAATACACCATCTTAGCCATAGAAAATTGGGCAGTGTACTATGGAGCTTCTAAAATAATTGAAAGTAACCAGGAAACTAATTTTACATCAAAGACTACAGAAGCATTAGCAGATAAATGGGTTATACAATGGAATTTCTGCATACCTTATAATCCCAGTGCAGCAGAATATAAGGAGAGATTAAATGGACTACCGAAAAGAGAACTTAAAACCTTAGACAAAACGAGCACATTCCAACAAGCTCTTAACCTGGGGTGTTTTAATTTAAATAAGAGAGAAAGTCTTTATAAGAGCAACCCCCACTCTTACCTTAATCAACTGCCTTTATGGTCATAAAGGATGTGGAAGCAGGTGCGGTGGCTCACGCCTGTTATCCCAGCACTTTGGGAGGCCGAGGCGGGCGGATCACGAGGTCAGGAATTCGAGACCAGCCTGGCCAACATAGTGAAACCCCATCTCTACAAAAAATACAAAAACTAGCTGGGCGTGGTGGCGGGCCCCGTAGTCCCAGCTACTCGGGAGGCTGAGGCAGGAGACTCGCTTGAACTCGGGAGGCGGAGCTTGCAGTGAGCCGAGATTGCGCCCCTGCACTCCAGCCTGGGCGACAGAGCGAGACTCCGTCTCAAAAAAAAAAAAAAAGATATGGAAAACAATGATACAAATAGTGTAACTCAAAGGTGAGCACTAAACTAAATGACAACATGATCTCCCAACAGAACATCGTGGCCAATGGACACAGAAATACTTACTGGACTAGAGAAAAAAAGAGGAAAGTTACAATTACCCCAATCTCCAGCCTTTCTCCAAATTCTCACTAGACCTAGGTTTGTTACCACACTTTCTGCAATATTGGTGCTACACTGTTTCTTTTAGTCATTGCATTAATATTCTCCATAAAATTAATGGAAAGTGTACTTCAATCCAATTTTACTTGCCACTAACCCCATATTTTTAACCTCAACATCACTTCTAGCCATCAGCAGAATAATTAAATACTTTATTCACTTGAGACAACATGGCTACAAATTTGTGTAGTTTCTCAACTGGTCTTATCACCTTTCTCATTCACCTTCTATTAGCCATCATAGTAACACACCCTTTCTCAAGATAATGACTGCATCCAAGGATTATTTAAATTCCAGAGAGAACTATTTCCAAGTTAATTTCTGTTATCTGATCCAATCATTCTCCCTAGTAATCATTTATTGCCCCTTAAATAGAATTCTTCTTCTCCCCCTCCCATAACCTGTTTTACCAGGATCCAAGCCCCCATTATTTCTGTAACCTCAAGATGGCCTATAAGCTTCTGTACGGCATTGGGAGGCTGGGTCTTTATTCTGAATGCACCTGTGTATACATATTAAATAAATTTGTGTGCATGCTTGTAGTCCCAGCCGCTGGTGAGGCTGAAGTGTGAGGATCACTTGAGCCTCAGAGGTCAAGGCTGCAGTGAGCCACGGCAAGCTTGGCTACAATATATACAAACCACATTTAGGCAAAGAGTTTCTAGAAAACATAGACAGATATGTCATCATAACTGGAAACTTCACTCTATGATGGCGTGTAACAGAAACTAAAACAGGCTCATTTTGGACACAACCATGAAAACCACACCAATTCCTAATCATCACAGCAGCTACAACAACATACAAAATTCCTACTAAATTTATTGTTTGCTGGGGTCAACATCTTCCAGGAACTCATGGTGGTCCTGGACACCGCTGGATACAAATATTGTTTTAATGAATTACAACAAAACTTTTGTTTGTACATGTGAATATTACATGTGATTTTTGGGGACAATTAATATTCACATGTACTCACAGACTACAGACCTATAATCTGCTACAATCTAACTCACCCCAGTATTTGGACCATTTACAATCACATACAAAATGACAGAGATTATTAGCACATTATTTACATAAAGAGAACCAAAAAACATGACTATATTAGAAAACTTTACTAGAAAACCCAAATATGAACAAAATCAAGTTGTTTTTCCAATGTGCCCAGTGGAAATTCAGAATGATCCAAACTTTTATTTCAGAGATGTAGAGACACCATACAATTTAAATCAATTGACTGGTGGGAAACACTAGGAACTAAAATAAATACGGATAAAGTCACAAAAACAGACCCAGGTATGTCAAATTAGTTTTTCTCCATGACCCAACCATCCAGTGGGTCATGGAATAAGGTTACATGGTCAGCTCAACTGCCTATTTACCAAAATATAACAAGACTAGTTTCCACTTACCTATATTTATAGCTAGAGACATCTCTTTTACAAAATGCAAGGTTAAACACTGGGACCCTGGACCTTGCATAATTGACAGGACGCTGGAATAAGATACGTTGCTTAAGAACACAACACTGGAAACCACAGTGGACCAAAAGAATAGCAAACCCTCCACCTAAAGTATTGAGAACCTGTTCTAATTAACCTATGAAGATTCGTTTACAAATCAACACCTAGGACAGTCAAAATGTTTTTGATAAAAGAACAGTTTAGGCCAGGCTCGGTGGCTCACGCCTGTAATCCTAGCACTTTGGGAGGCCAAGGCAGGCAGATCACCTGAGGTTGGGAGTTCGAGAACAGCCTGGCCAATGTGGAGAAACCCTGTCTCTACTAAAAATACAAAATTAGCCAGGCATGGTGGTGCATGCCTGTAATCCCAGCTACTCGGGAGGCTGAGGCAGGAGAATCGCTTGAACCAGGGAGGCGGAGGTTGCGGTGAGCCAAGATCACACCATTGCACTCCAGCCTGGGCAACAAGAGTAAAACTCCGTCTCAAAGAAAAAGGAAAAAAAAAAAAAAAGAACAGTTTAAAGTCACACATATTCAAGCAGAATGTGTACAGTTCTAGGAACAAGGATGTGACAAACAGCCCATTTTACCAAACTTACCACCACTAGATAAATATTATTTAAGAAAATTTCTATAAATATTTGTAGCAATTTGAATTATTTCAAACTAGTCATTTCAGCAGTACAAGAAGCAGAAATTCAGGAAGTTAAAACAGGCCTATTTGTTTTAAACATTGTGGAAAACACAAACGTGCATGGACCTGGTTCCGTCTGATCGTGTAGAGTGTATGATAACACAGCCTTGGCCTGGAGATCTGAAAAAGATACCCAGAGAGAAATAAAACTTTGGAAAACCATAACAAATTAGGTGCATAGGCTCATAATATTACAAAATGTTAAGAAGATAGAACTTAAATGTGGTTTAGGAGTTTTTAATTATTAAAATATTTTTCACAGGCTTCCCAAATTTAAAAAATGGGCAATAAAAAACTTAGAATAAAAACTAAAAGCAGCTGTAAAAGACATTTTAAGGCCAATTGGGGAAAATTCGAATGTAGACTAGCATATGACAGCATGTTAATGTCAATTTTCTTAGGTGTGACATGGAGTAATGGCATATCTGTGACTTTCAAGTTGGGGGGACAGTTTTACAGATCTCAACTTTCTTTCTTTTTTTCTTTTCTTTTTTTTTTTTTTTTTTTTGTTTTGTTTTTTTGAGACGGAGTCTCGCTCTGTCGCCCAGGCTGGAGTGCAGTGGTGCGATCTCGGCTCACTGCAACCTCCGCCTCCCAGGTTCACGCCATTCTCCTGCCTCAGCCTCCTGAGTAGCTGGGACTACAGGCACCTGCCACCACGCTCAGCTAATTTTTGTATTTTTAGTAGAGACGGGGTTTCACCCTGTCAGCCGGGATGGTCTCGATCTCCTGACCTCGTGATCCGCCCACCTCAGCCTCCCAAAGTGCTGGGATTACAGGCGTCAGCCACCGCGCCAGGCCATACAGATCTCAACTTTCAAGTGGAATAGGGAAGGTATACCTATCTCTATCTATTTGTCTATCTATCTATCTATCTATCTATCTATCTATCTATCTATCTATCTATCTATCTCTATCTACCTATCTATCTACCTTGGAAGAGAGAGAGAGAGAGAGAATGTGACAAAATATTAACCAGTGTTGATTGCAGGTAAAGAGAAACCAGGGTTGGTTGTGGCATTATTTCAATTATCTCTACTTATTTAAAAAATGAAAAGATAGATGCTGGGGTGAGGGAGAAGTACCTGATCTCTTTCCATAGCGACAATTACTCAAGCGTCGTTAAGGAGCTAGGACCGGCCCTGACCCGCCCCTCTAGGCAACAGGTGCCATTCTAATGGCCTTTGGACACCTAGGGAGACTTTTTGAAATCTGTGACATAATTTTAAGACCAGCCATTTTTGGCATACCCAGAGCTATCTTTTTGGATCATTTTGTGCTGCTGGCATTTTTTCTCCGTTCTTAAGATATCATGAGTAAAGACACTGACTACATATACGGCGCGCATAAACTGCAGTAGAGTCCATTTCAGGTAACTACTCTGCAAAATGAGGACACCAGGTGCGTTTTGCCCTTTGTTTAGAAGTCAAGTCATAGCTGACTCTGGGAACATCACCTATGGTTAGCCCTGCGGCAACAGTTTTTAAAACGGCTTACTTTCCTGACCGGGAATCGAACCCGGGCCGCGGCGGTGAGAGCGCCGAATCCTAACCACTAGACCACCAGGGAAGACATGATGCGTCATTTAGCAATATGCTATACTAAATAAATATCCTGTGACGTATCTCCTATAGAAACATGATTGGATGCGGTTTTCTCGCAACATTTGGGAATATGCAGACTGCTTCCCTCCCCTTGGTAGGTAGCCCCCTTGCTGCGGCAGACAGGGAAAACCGGGCAGCAAAGATGAGTAGTCTAGTTGTAACCTTCTTCCTGGAGAAGACAATAAAATACCAACGGACTCCGGGAAAATTCTGGGGTTTCTTCCGGGGAATAAAATGCTAATAAAACGAATGTGTCAGAAGTGGGATTCGAACCCACGCCTCCATCCGGAGACCAGAAAGCCCGCAGGCAAGGTGCTTACCTTGAGTCTGGCGCCTTAGACCACTCGGCCATCCTGACACTCGGAAGCAGAGCGCTTCTCACTTAGCCTCATACTTGTGTCCGCTGGTGCCAGCCTGCCGCGTCACACCCGAGTTGCGGCCGTGGGAACCCTACTGACTGGTCGCGACGTTTCAGCGCTTCCCGTTCCCGGCGGAGCTCTGGAGAAAGCCGCGACTGCAATGCAGCCAGGAGTGGCCGATAGCGCTCTCCCAGGCCGGGAATCGAAGCTAACGACCAGGGGTTAGTGACCGTGTGCCAGCGCCTGGCCCCGCAAACGCAGGACAATGCCTGAGAAAGGCAAAGCTCGAGCTACCGCCTCACCTTCCGGCCCAAGCTGGGGAAACTCTGGCAAGCAGTTACTACTCGGAAAGTAGTTGGAAAAACGCTTGCCACTAAGTGACGAATGGATGCTTTTGTTTTTCTTCATTATCATCATTATTATAGCGGCTTTCTGCTTTATTGTGCCTGCGCGTACCCTCCCCTCAAGGTCCACCGCGCTTCCTCCACGAAACCACACAGATACGGTTGGCGATAACGGCCGGATCGGGAGGTCCTAGGTCAGAGGGGCCTGATGCGGGCCTCGCCTGAGGTGAGGGAAGTCAGGCTGCGTTTACACAGCAGTTAACGAGTGCCTTAGCGTCCAATGGGAAGGCCCGGGACTCGCAGTGCAGAGCAGCTCTGGCAGTGTCCTCCCGGTGGGCTGTGAGGTTACCTGTGAGCCCAGATACCACTCGTCCAGGCATTCATTCGTTGAATCTTAACATCGAGTGTCCACTGGGAACACAACGGTAAATAGACAAAGCCCCAACTTGGTGAGCTGATTTGCTAGTGAAGGAGATGACCAGCACAATCACATGTACAGAGTGTGAGGAAAAACCAAAAGCAATGAAGTGGTGGAGAAGTTCTATTTTTAGACTGTGCAGTTAAGTAAGGCCTCACTAAAGTGACTTTTGCTAAAATATTTTTCAAAAACTAAAATATATGTCATGCAGCCGGGCGCGGTGGCTCATGCCTGTAATCCCGCCACCACGTTGGGAGGTGGGCGGATCACCTGAGGTCGGGAGTTCGAGACCAGCCTGACCAACATGGAGAAACCCCGTCTCTACTAAAAATACAAAATTAGCCGGGCATGGTGGCACATGCCTGTAATCCCAGCTACTCGGGAGCCTGAGGCAGGAGAATCGCTTGAACCTGGGAGGCGGAGGTTGTGGTGAGCCGAGATCGCGCCGTTGCACTCCAGCCTGGGCAACAAGAGTGAAACTCTGTCTCAAAACAATAAAATAAAATAAAATAAAATAAGAATGTCATACAAATATAAAATCCACGTGTCAAGATTTTATTCAATTAACTAATGATGAAAGATAATAACTTTAAAGAGAAAATTATTCTGATACTTGTTCAAACAGCAAGGGAGAATTTTATTCAAACTATTACAATAGGGGTGAGAGACTGGGCGCAACTCCAAATCAACAAAGACAACTAGAAATTTAAAGCCAAGGAGCAGAGTGTGGGGGGTGGGGGGGATCAGTGGATGGAAAATTACTAAGAAAATGGGCCAAGTGGGGCAGCTCAGGCCTGTAATCCCAGTGCTTTGGGAGGCCTAGTCAGGAGGATCGCTTCTGCCCAGGAGTTTGAGGCTTCAGTGAGCTATGATGAAGCTCGCCTTTCAAAGAAAGAAAATTACTAATAGGAGACATTAAGGGTAAGGGAGAAGGAAAGAAGGAAGGAAGGGAGGCAGGAAAAATTACTAATAGGAGTAGGGGTTACATACTAAACAGGCCTTAAAAGATTCTACTTACTGGAGGCCAAAGACTTGGACACCAAAGGTGAGAAATTCAAAGGTGAGGAATGAGTAACTTGATCAATATCAAGGCTGGGGGAATTCACACTAAACTGACTTAGCAGGACTGTTTGCTAAGACTAGGCTTTACAGGCCAAAGACAGGATAGGGGCCAAGGTAGAGGCCTAATCAAAAACAGGAATCAGAGGCGCCTGACTGAAGTTTGGTCAAGGAAGGTCTTTGTCAATGACCTATACAATGTTACCAATGTTACAACTAATTAAAAGGAGAATTTCGAGAGACTTTTAAAATAATAATTCAGCCAAATGAAGGCTGAAAAGAGGTTGCTAACAGATTAAAGTTGGGTTAATATCCTGAGTAATAAACTGTGATAATGGAAGTTGGGATTTCTACTCCGGGGTTATCTTTTCTTTGCCGGAGATAAATCGGTTGTGTCTCTTGACAAATTTTACTTATATTGCTATCCTTGGTCTTGCTCTCAGACAGAAACCATTTTCATTACTATTAGTTTTCTAAAAGTTAACCTTGGCCGGGCGCTGTGGCTCACGCCTGTAATCCCAGCACTTTGGGAGGCCGAGGCGGCCAGATCACGAGGTCAGGAGATGGAGACCATCCTGGCTAACACGGTGAAACCCCGTCTCTACTGAAAATACAAAAAAATTAGCCGGGCATGGTGGCGGGCACTTGTAGTCCCAGCTACTCAGGAGGCTGAGCCAGGAGAATGGCGTGAACCCGGGAGGCAGAGTTTGCAGTGAGACAAGACCACACCACTGCACTCCAGCCTGGGTGACAGAGCGAGACTCTGTCTCAAAAAAAAAAAAAAAAAAAAAAAAGTTAACCTCTACCTCCCTACCAAGCTGCAAAATAGCCAAGTCAATAAAAATTAATAAAGGTGCACATGCCAATGGAAACAGATAATCCCACAAAGGTCTGCTAGACAATGCCAAGTTCCATGGGAAGGACACCTAGTAATCTCTTTTGTCTATTTCCAGGTTTTTAATATTTTTTCCTTTTTAAAATATTTTATCTTTAATTGACAAATAATAATTATATATCTTTATGGAGTACCATGTGATGTTTCAATTCATGTACACATTGTGAAATGATCAAATAAGGCTAATTAACATATCCATCACCTCCCATGCTTTTATGATTTCTTTGTGGTCAGAACATTTAAAATCCACTCCTGCAGGAATTTTGAAATATGCATTATTATTAACCACAGTCACCATTCTGTGCAGTAGGTCACAAGAAATCATTCCTCCTGTTGAACTAAAACTATGTACCTTTTAACCAACATTCCACCCTCTTTCCTCATTCCACCCCCCTCTCCCAGCCTCTGATAACCACCATTCTACTCCTTTTTTCTATGAGTTCGATTTTTTTAGATTCAAAACATAAGGGATAACATGAAGTATTTGTCTTCCTATGCCTGGCATATTTCAGGTAGCAGAAGGCTGTCTAGATTCACCCATGTTGTCACAAATAACATAATTTTATTAACCATTCATCCTTGATGGGTATTATGGTTGTTTCCATATCTTACCCATTGTGAGTAATGCTGCAATAAACGTGAGAGTGCAGGCATCTCTTGAACATAATGATTTCAATTACTTTGGATATATACCCAGTAGTGCGAGTGCTGGATCATATGGTAATTTTGTTTAAGTTTTATGAGGAGCTTCCATACTGTTGTCTATAATAGCTGTACTAATTTACATTCCCACCAACAATGTGCAAGATTTCCCTTTTCTCCTCATCCTCACCAATGATAGTTATCTTTCATCTTTTTGATAATAGCCATTCTAACAGATGGAAGGTAATATCTTTTTTTTTTTTTAGGAAACAGAGGTTCGTTCTTGTCACCCAGGCTGGAGTGCAGTGGCGCAATCTAGGCTCACTGCAACCTCCACCTCCTGGGTTCAAGCGATTCTCCTGCCTCTGCCTCCCGAGTACCTGGGATTATGGGAACGCACCACCACGCCCAGCATAATTTTTGTTTTTAGTAGAGACAGGGTTTCACCATGTTGGACAGGCTTGTCTCGAATTCCTCAGGTGATCCACCTGCCTCGGCCTCCCAAAGTGCTGGGATTATGGGCGTGAGCCACAGGGCCCGGCCAGAAGGTAATATCTCATTGTGGTTGTAAGTTGCATTTCCCTGATGATTCGTGATATTAAGCACGTTTGCATATATCTGTTGGCCATTTGTATGTCTTCCCTAGAGAAATGTCTATTCAGATTCTTTGCCTATTATTTAAGTGGGTTATTTGCTTTCTTATCATTGAGTAGTTTCTTTTTGATTCTGTACAAATTTTGGGATTGTTTTTTCTTCCTCAAAGGTATTTAAGTATTGTCTTTTCTATTTTGTGAAAACTGTCATTGGAATTTTTATAGGGATTGCATTGAATCTGTAGATTGCTCTGGTAGCATGGACATTTTAATAATATTGATACCTCCAATCCATTAAAATGAAATATCTTTCCATTTAGTGATTTCTTCTTCAATTTCTTTCATTAATGTTTTATAGTTTTTAGTGTAGAGCTCATTGGTTAAATTTATTCTTAAGTATTTTATCTTTTTTTAGCTACTGTAAATGAGATTGTTTTCTTGATTTGTTTTCCGGATAGTTTACTATTACTGTGTAGAAATGCTACTGATTGTGTATATTGATCCTCCAACTTTACTGAATTAATTTATTAGTTCTAACAGACTTTTTTAGTGTAGTCCTTAGGGTTTTCTACATATAAGATAATGCATTCTTCTGCTGTTGGATGGAATGTCCTGTGTACACGTGTTAGGTCCATTTGGTCTAGAGTTTAGTCTATGTCTGATGTTTCCTTATTGATTTTCTGTCTGGATTATCTGTCCATTGCTGAAAGTGGGGTGTTTAAGTCCCCTACTCTTATTATATTGCAACCTATGTCTCCTTTTACCTGTATTAATATTGCTTTATATATTTAGGTATCCCAATGTTGGGTGAATATATATTTACAATTGTTGTATCTTTTTGCTGAATTGATCCCTTTATTTTTATGTAGTGACCTTATTTATCTCTTTTTACAATTTTTGACTTAAGGTTTTAAAGTTTATTTTATCTAAGTATACCTGCTCCTGTTCTCCTTTGGTTTCCATTTGCTTGGAGTATCTTTTTCTATCCCTTTACTTTCAGTATATGTGTGTCTTCATAGGTGAAGTGAGTGCTTTGTAGGCAACATATAGTTGGGTCTTTTTTTTTTTAATTCACTCAGCCACTCTATGTTTTTTAATTGGAAAATTTAATCCATTCATATTCAAAGTATTTTGAATTCTTTGTTGAGCAATTTATACATCTCCATCTTTTTAGAGTCAGTCACTGGTGCTTTATTTTGTCCCTTTGGTGATGCATATTTCTTTTCTTTTCTTTTTTTTTTTTTTGGAGATGGAGTCTCACTCTGTCGCCCAGGCTGCAGTGCAGTGGTATGATCTCGGCTCACTGCAACTTCTGCTTCCTGAGTTCAAGCGATTCTCCTACTTCAGGCTCCTGAGTAGCGGGACTACAGGCATGCACCACCATACCCGGCTAATTTTTGTATATTTTAGTAGAGATGGGGTTTCACCATATTGGCCAGGCTGGTCTTGAACTCCTGTCCTCAAGTGATCCACAGTCCTCGGCCTCCAAAAGTGCTGGAATTACAGGCGTGAGCCACTGCACCCAGCTGGTGATGCATATTTCTAATTGTTCTTGATTGTTCCATGCATTGGTGTGTGCATATTTGAAGAAGTAGCTACTTATTCCAGTCTTTGAAGACCTGATTATCTAAAAACACCCTTTATCTATCAGTCAGCCTGTACAGAAATTCTGGGCAGGCCGCCTGTTGTGGCCAATGGGTGAGCCTGCTGCTTAAGTCCTCAGGTTTGCTGGTCTAGTGACTGGATGAGCAGACGGGCAGGTCTGAAAGCTGGATCCACTAGGGTGGACCAGTTGATTGGATCTGCTGGGGTGGACCTAGAACCTGTGTCCCTTGTGGCAAACCTGAATCCCAGGTCTACAAGGGCTGACTTGCCACTGGAGTGGGTCTTGAGCCTGAGTCTGCAGGGACCAGCCAGGTACTGAGATGGGCCTGGAGTCTGTGTCCTCTGGAGCCTAAGTCTACAGGAGTAAACCTATGTCCTGAGTTCACAGAGGCTGGCTTGGAGGCCTGAATCTGCAACAGTATCACTGGATCCTCAGTCCACAGAGGCTGGCCTGGCTCCAGGGTCTGCTGGGGTGGCCTGGACCCCGAGTCCACTGGAGCCTGGGATTATACGTACTTACCAGGTACCTGGATCCTCGAGGGCTGGCCTGAAGCCTAGGTCTACAGGGGTTGGCCTGAAGGCTAAGGGTGTGTGTATGTGCTATTTTGGAGACTAGGTCTTTAAGGTCTAAGGGTGTTGACCTGGTGCCTGAGGCTAGACGTGCTAACTTGGCCCTGGGGTGGGCCTGAAGCCTGGAGCTGCAGAGGCAGGCCTAGGATCTTGGGCTACCAGGGTCAGCCTAACCCTGGGGTGTGTCTGGAGACTGAGTCTGTAGGGCCTGACCTAGTGCTTGGGTAAGCTTGAAGGCCTGTGCCACTGGTGCTGGCCTGGTGCTGGAGTAGGCTCAGAGGCCAGAGACTGAGTCCCTGCTCTGGAACCTGGGGATGCAGGATCCAGCCTGGGGCCAGGGACGCTTGAAGGCTTAGACCTCATGTACTGGCTTAGTGTCTGGGGATATTGGGGCCTTCCTGGTGCTGGGTTTGACTGGGGTGGGCCCAGTGTTAGGGTCCAAGGCAAAGTCCAGTGCTCACTTCTCTCTTCTTTCTCCAAGTGGAAAGTATCTCTCTCTGCTGTGCTGCTTGAGGTTGAAGAAAGGGTGATGTAGGCAAATGTAAAACTGTCCTTCCTACCATCTTCGATGCCCCTCTTCCTTTTTGGGTGTTTTTTTTTTTTTTTTTTTTTTTTTTTTTTTTTTTTTTTTTTTTTTTTTTTTTTGCCAGTGTCTGGCTCTTTCACCCAGGCTGGAATACAGTGGTGCAATCCTGGCATCTTGACTCACCACAACCTCTGCCCTCCCAGGCTCAAGCCATCCTCCCACTTCAGCCTTTTGAGTAGCTGGAACTACAGGTGCACACCACCACACCTAGATAATTTTTGTATATTTTTTGTAGACATGGGGTCTCCTGAACTCAACCAATCCACCTGCCTCAGCCTTCTGAAGTGCTCAGATTACAGGCATGAGCCACCAAGCGCAGCCAATGCCGCTCTTCTTATTTCTTTGCTATACCCAGGTGCTGTGGTCTCTCATCTGGTTTCCTTACTTCTTTTTTTTTTTTTTTGAGGCAGAATTTCGCTCTTGTTGCCCAGGCGGGAGTACAATGGTGCAATCTCGGCTCACTGCAACCTCCGCCTCCTGGGTTCAAGCGATTCTCCTGCCTCAGCCTCCCGTGTAGCTGGGATTACAGACACGTGCCACCCACACTGCCTAATTTTGTATTTTTAGTAGAGACGGGGTTTCTCCATGTTGATCAGGCTGGTCTCAAACTCCCGACCTCAGGTGATTCTTCCTGCCTTAGCCTCCCAAAGTGCTGGTATTACAGGCGTGAGCCACCGTGTCTGGACCAGGATTCTCCATTTCCTATCCCCCTTTAGATACATCAATTTGAACTACTATTCACAAATGAAAATATTTTTCACGGTGGCTCATGACTGTAATCCCAGCACTTTGGGAGGCTGAGGCAGGAGGAATCACCTGAGGTTGGGAGTTTGAGACCAGCCTGGCCAACATGGTGAAACACTACCTCTATTAAAAATACAAAAAATTAGCTGGGCGTGGTGGCAGGTGCCTATAGTCCCAGCTACTTGGGAGGCTGAGTCAGAAGAATTACTTGAACCCGGGAGGTGGAGGTTGCAGTGAGCCAAGATCGCACCATTGTACTCAAGCCTGGGTGACAGAGCAAGACTCTGTCTCAAAAATAAATAAATAAATAAATAAATAAAATAAAAAGAAAAGAAAGAAATGGAGAATCCTTTTCTGTCATCTTGTTCTATCCCTAAGGTGGACAATTTTTTATCACTTTGGAGTCCTGTCTGACGGGAGAAAGTGAACAATGGAGGAGGGTTGTTTTCCATTACCCTCATATCCTAATGCTTCTGGTGGCCTATTTGGCCTTCAGACCCTTCTGGCCAGCCTGACCTCACCTCCCTGTCTCCCATATGCCCCAGCAAGCTTGGTACCTTTTCCTAAAGGTGCTTGATCTGTCTTTGTTCTTTTTGCCTTGCCCAGAAAAGTCCCTTGCTCTAGCTGAGCCCCATGGACCAGGGATGCTGCAGAGAATAAAACAAATTATCTGTCCTCAAGATGCTCACATTCCAGCAGAAACACCTAGACTAAATAAAATAATTATTTGGTGGGGATGGGTAGTGATACATACTGTTGAGAAAAATAACGCATAGAAAGAGGTTAGGGAGAGATGCAAGTGGTTCAGAAGGTCTCTCAGTATGTGGCATTTGAGCAGAAATTTCAAGAGAGTCAAGGAGTGACTAGATAAAATATCTGAGGGAAGAGGGCTCCAGGGAAAGAGAAGAGCAGAAGAAAAGGCCAACAAGAAATGCAAAACAGACAGTATGGTTGAAACTGAGTGAGAGGACCTGGTGCTAGCCTTTGGATTGACAGTGAGTGAAAAGGAAGGTTTTGAGCTGTGTGATAAGATCTTTCCTGCTTTTCAAGGATCCCCTTGGCTGGTTATGGTGGCTCATGCCTGTAATCCCAACTCATGCCTGTAATCCCAAATCTTTGGGAGCTCAAGGAGGGAGGATCACTTGTGCCAGGAGTTTGAGACCAGCCTGGACAACATAGTGGGAGACCATCTCTACAAAAGATTTAAAGAATTTGCTGGGCATGTTGGCATGCACCTGTCGTCTTAGCTACTTGGGGGTTGAGATGGGAGGATTGCTTGAGCTAGGACTTCAAGGATGCAGTGAGCTGTGATCGTGCCACTGCATTCCAGCCTCAGTGATGGAACAAGATACTGTCTCAAGAAAGAAAAACAAAAAGGATCCTCTGGCTGCGTGTGGAGGGTAGAATATAGAACACAAGAGTAAGGCAGAGAGAACAGTTGAGAGGTGCTGCAAGCCACGTTGGTGGACTGGATGGCAACAGGCCGCGTGGCAAGCAAGATTTGAATTCTGGGTATATTTTGCAGGTAGAGTTAATAGGATTTGTTGATGTGCAAGAAGTAAATGAGCCACAAAAAGGATTTTTTGACCTGAGCAATAGAAGGAAAAAACTCATCATTTACTGACAAAGGGAAGGCTAAGGGGAGGCAGATTATGGAGGAGGGAGAGTTCAGTTTTAGACCTTCCAGTTTGAGATACCTAATAGATGTGTCAAGTAAGCAGTTAGGAACGATCCTCTGGAGTCCAGGGGAGAGGTGATGCTTTGTGATCAAGTCCTGTCCATTTAGTTTTCAAGGTAAAGCATCTTTCATTATGGTCTGTCCTAGGGGAAAAAGCATGGTGTGGTTAGCCTCTGCATGAGTACCCAGAAAGTCTAAATATAGGCCAAAGGCTAGAAATAAGTATAGGCTTGAAGCCCAAGGCCCTAATCTAGTGGATCACAGTCTCTGCTCAGGGCTCCAAATGGGATGTTTAGTCACAAGCTGTTTTAGGTGCTCCTGGAGAGAGTGAACTGAAGACTAACAATGAGGAAAGGGGAGACAGAGAATTCTTTAGTTCCCACCATGTTTCCCAGTTCTGACTGGTGGGAGGCTTCATTTCTAACCAGCTGAATGAGCAGTGTGAGGAGGGTAAGATCTACCAGGTCCTGGTGGGTGGAAGCATGGAGAGAGAGCTAGGGCACAACTCAAAAATAGTCTGGTGAGTGGACTAAACAGGAGGGGAATGCAACAGGAATAGAACTAGAAGAAATGTCTTCAAATTGTTGGTGGCTCACCAACTCTTCTGTATTAGAAGCTTAATGCTGGAAGATGGCTGAAGAGAAATGGTTGTTTCATTTTTTAGCCCAAATGCCAAACTTTTTAGGTACAGAAGGAGGAAATGAGATGAGGCAAGGAAAAGGGGAGAAGATGAAGGAGAGAAAGAGGGGGCAAAATTATGCAATGAGAGAGTCAGAGGCGAGCAGGAGGAAGGGGCAGTTAGAAGTAAAACAGAAGGAACAACATTATAGCACCCAGGCTGTTCATGCTGAGGGGCACCTGCAGGTCAGTGCTGGTCTGCCCTCAGCCCTCACCTCGGCCTCCCTCCTGTGCTCATTGGCGCCCAAAGTCCAGAGGGGGCCGAGGCAGCAGGGGGCTGGCATGTCAGCGCTGCCCGAGTGTGCGCACACCCGGCCGGGTTGCAGTAGCGCCGGCCTTGGCCTCAACTTTGCTCTGAGATGAGAGTGGGCACTGGGAGCAGGGAGCAGCCAGGCACTGGGAGCAGACATTTCAGAGCCCGTGGAGCAGGCACCAGGAGCGGGGAGAGACCAGGCAGCAGAACCAGGCATTTCTGAGCCTCCGCGGGCAGCGGGGTCCTTCCCAGCCCCTGGAGAGTGAAGAGATGCCTGGGTCTGCAGCCACAGCTTGAGCCGCAGTAGCTGTGCCTGGGAGGGCGGGCTCCTGGCTGCTCCTGGCCCCCAAGAGCACAGGGAGGCCTTGGTCGGCAGCCACAGCCGGGCGGCAGAGGCTGCACCCGTGAGCGCGAAGGTCCCACCCTATCAACTCAGGAGGGGGCGGGGCTTCTGCCTGTTCCTGGCTCCACTCGCTTCATGGAGCGCTGCAGCCAGCATCACGGCAGTGGCCACCCTAGACGGGCTGCTGCTGCCATCAGCACAACCACAGCGAGGGTGGGCAGCTGCTGCTTCAGCACCAGGAGCAACATGTCGCTCCGCTGCCGGCGTCGCGGGCTCCGCCGCGTCAAGCACCCCTGCAGACGCTGAATTTACCACGGCGAGTCTCTTGGCGGCTGGCTTCCTCCTCCTTCATGTCGTCTGCCCTCCGGCCCGGAGCCAAAGCTAACAGGACCAACCCAGGCAGCTGGGCCAGCCAGGAGCAAGGGCAACCGCATCTCTTGTATACCACCCCACCCTACCTGGGCCACATGGCATCACAGAGCGCCCAGGTCAGCCGCACTAGGGCATGATCAGACTCAGGGTAGAGGCACCACCCTTCAGTTGTCAGGGGCTCAGGGGAAACGGAATTGCACTCCCAGCAATGATGACTAGTTGGAGGATGAAGACACCAGTCACTGAGAGGATGAGGGCTGAGAAAGAGGGAGGTTCATGCAAATACCTGGAGCTGGGCTGGGCTGAGGGTGTCTGTGGGTCTCGTGGAATTTGGGGTACAAAGTCCTGAAGGAGTGTTCCTTTTCCCACTGGGAATACATCTCAGGATTTGAGGGCAGTGGGTTGACTCAACTTCTGTAGCAATTTGGCTCATTCCTCCTTGGATCTGGAGAGTGGAAAGTAGTTTTTCTCTTTGGAGAGAAGATACTAAAAGTTCAGAGGGTACAGCAATATTAGATTTGGCTGTGCCAAAGCAGGAGATAAGAAGAGCGCTATGGTGCCATGCATAGTCCAGGAAAAATAAATGTTATGAAGATAAATATGTCCTCCACATGGACCCTTTTATGTGTATAAAAGAATTGGCAGTTTCAGCAGTCTGTAAACTGTAAAGCTCAACAGTGACAAAAATACAAATAGCTCACATTTAATCTTAGCCTTTGTAATGGGATGCTAAGATGGAATTCAAGGTCTCAGACTGCAATGAGGTCACTAAAGGCAGAGAACCAATGTTTACAGAGAACCCCTCCTTAAAATGTTAGCACTCCCTTGCAGCACTTACAAAGGAAGGGGCTGGTGACTGTTTTTGAGAGAGTTGGCTCATTCCTTACCTAGATGATATAAGAAATTAAAGAGAGGCTGAGAGATTTATTTGGAGACGGTTATTGAAGAGCTGGGCATTGGCAGTAATTTCATTTTATTATTTTAAACAAGATCAAACCAAGAGAACCAAAAATGTTCTTGGGTCTCAAAGTGAGACCCAACATTCTAAGAGTAACCAAGAATTACAAGACCTTTCATTCCCTTGGATGAAACCACAAGGATTTTGCAGATATCTATTAAGGGACCATGAGGAAAGGATAAAGTTTGTTCTCGATGGAGTCCTGCTCTTTTGATGTGAAAGTTACACTTTCATTAATGAGTAAAGTAGCTGGAAAAGTTACACATTCATTAATGAGTAAAGTAGCTGGGACATCTTCCTTCCTACCTTACACTAGTCAGACAAGTATGTTGAGTCACTGATACCACAAATCAAAAGGAATATGCACAGGACACACTGGGCTCATCCTAAGGGTGTTCATGTTTGCACACCATGTCATTTGAGATATTTAGGCTGCAGAGGAGAAGGCTGGGCTAGTCAACAATCATCGTATACCAATAACAAACACACAAACAAGTCCCTGAGATGATTTCAGAAAGTAAGTGCCATGAAGAAGATACAATAGGGCACAGTGAGGTAGAGCATGACTGAGGAAAGGGAGCTTTCTGAATGAGGGATTTTATAGCTGAGTGGGTGATCTTATAGCCGAGATTTACAAGATGAGAAGGGAGCAAACAGATGAACAGCTGGGTGGTGGGCTGGGGGATGGGGTGGGGGCTGAGGGGAGAATTGAGTGCTCCAGAGACAAAAGAACTCCCTCTAGGATACTTGGCACACTTGAGAAATAGCAAAAAGGTGGGAGGACAAAGTGGGAAAAGTTGGGGGATGATGCCAGAGAAGAAGCCAAGGGCCCAATTAAGTAGGTCCTTGAGGCCATGATAAGGATTTTGGATTGCACCACTCACAGATTTTAAGCAAAAGATTTGATCTTTGAGGAAATTTTCCCTGCTTTGTGAGAGTACAAGTTAAAGTAGGAGGCAGATCCATTAGGAAGATGTAGCCACAGACCAGGTGAGAGATGATAGTGGTATGGTAGGCTTAAAAATAGTCCCAGAAAAGATATCTGTGTCCTAATCCCCAAAACTTGTGGAGATTACTTTATTTTATTTTAGATGGAGTCTTGCTCTGTCACTCGGGCTGGTGTGCAGTGGTGCAATTTCGGTTCACTGCAACCTCCTCCTCCTGGGTTCAAGCAATTCTTCTGCCTCAGCCTCCCGAGTAGCTGGGATTATAGGCCCATGCCACCATGCCCAGCTAATTTTTTTTGTATTTTTAGTAGAGACAGGGTTTCACCATGTTGGGCAGGCACATCTCAAACTCCTGACCTCAAGTGATCCACCCGCCTTGGCCTCCCAAAGTGCTGGGATTACAGGCGTGAGCCACCGTGTGCAGCCGATTACTTTATATGGCAAATACTTTACAGAAGAAATTGTCTTAGGATACTGAGATGGAGAGATTATTTGGATTATAAGGATGGACTCTAAATGCATTCACAAGCATCCTTGTAAGAGAGAAGCAGAGGGAGATTTGACACAGAAGGAGGCAATGTGACCTCAGAGACAGAGATTGGAGTGACGTGGCCACAAGTCAGAGAATGCTGGCCACCATTAGAAGCTAGAAGAAGCAAGGAAAGGATTCTCCCCTAGAGCCCTTACAATGGCCTGTGGCCCTGCTGATGCCTTGGCCTCCAGAACTGTGAGAAAATAAATTTGAGTAAAGGGAGCAAGTTTGTGGCTGAAAACAACACACAACACAATTTGTTACAACAATTACAGAAAATTAATACCAGTGGCTTGGAGTAGGGTTTTAGCAGTTGAGAGGGTCAGAAGTGATTGGATTTAAGATAAATTTTTGGAGACAGGACCAACAAGATTTGCTGATGTATATGGTTTAGGTATCATAAAAGGCAAAGAATCAAGGCTGATTCCCTTTTTTCTGAACAAGTGGGTGGATGATGACATAGTTTACTGGCATGGGGGAGGGTACAGGCGTTATTGTTATATGTTTGCCATATTTATGTTGGAGAAAATATCAGCTATCATGTGTCAGCGCTCTCTACATGCCAGGCACTGTCCTACATTCTTTACACGTGTTAGCTCAGTTAACACATGTAAGTCAAGCGGGCAGTAAGATATATGACTGGAGTTGAAAGAGGGCTAGGCTAGGAGCCATCAGTGTATTTAAAGCCATGGAACTAATTAGATCACCCAGGAGAACATATGCAGACGAGAGAAGATCTGGTTCAAGGCCTGAGCCAGGGCACACTTCATCTTTTGGCAGAACAGAGGGAATGGATCCAAAAAAAGGATAGAAGGAGCCAGTGAGGAGGGTGGAAAACCTGGAGCATATGAAGTCACAGAAGTAAAACTGGGGCCCAAAATGTAGAGGGAGCCATAAAGATGAGGAGGACGAGAGCTACATAGTCGCGCTCTTTCTAGGGCAGAGAGGCGGACGGAACTGACAGCTGCTATGTAGCAATATGACCGTCTCAAGTGACCTTGTGAAGCGCCACTGCAGTGGCTGGGTGGGGAGGAAAGCTCCATCAGAGCCATTTGAAGAGAAGAGGATGGGAAGTGAGCGTACACAGAGAATGCAGGCAACTTTTAGGAGGAATTCTGATGGTAATAGAAGTGGGCTGTAGCTGGTGGGACTCTGCGGTCCACAGAGGGCTCTAGCTGGACCCTCTGTGGGTCTTTCAAAGTGACTGATTCTGCATCATGTTTGCGGGTGGCAACTGTGAGGGGGAAATCGAAGGTGAATACAAAACGGGAACAAGTGAAGAGGCAACGTCCCCATACAGGCCGGGTGGGCTGGGGTTGGAGCACAGGAGGCCTGACCCTGTCTCTTCCACTTTCCCTCAAACCTTTGGTCACCAAGCGCAGACGCTCACCACAGAAGCCACCCAACCACAACTGCCGCGGGGCTCCGCGACACGCGCGGGCGACTTGAGTCGGGCAACCACGATTCCCGGCGGGCGTTGCGCGGGGCACCCAGTGCGCAGGCGCACGGCGTCGGCCTCCGACTCGCCCCTCCCTCTGGGGCGCGGGCCTCAGTTCCGGGCTACAGCAGCCGACGCCGAGAGGCACCGTTTCTTCTTAAAAGAGAAACGCTGCGCGCGCGAGGTGGGCCCCTGTCTTCCAGCAGCTCCGGGCCTGCTCGCTAGGCCCGGGAGGCGCAGGCGCAGGCGCAGTGGGGGTGAGGGCGCGTGGGGGCGCACAGGTAAGGCCGGGGTGGGGGTGGGTCGCGACGGGGGCTCTGGGCAGCCTGGGAACTGCCATTGGGATTAGTCCGCTCCACTCACTGTCAGCATTAAGTGGGGGTGCCCAAGACGGGGTGGATGGGGGGCGCCCTCCAGACCTCTGACCACGGCCTCACCGCCACTCGACCCAACTATGAAGAGCGCCCCCAGCTGCACGCCAGGACACGACCTTTCCTTCCCCTAGAAACCAGTAAAGGCCGCTGCCCTATTCAAGATGAAATGTGTGGACCGCCCCCAGCCCAGTTGAAATTTCCCGTGAAAGTCTCTCGCCCCTTCCCCACAGCTCCACTTCAGTGGACTGGAGGGCGCAGGCCTTTGTTCTGACTGCTTCTGTCTGCCTGCCTCCCACCCGACGACACTCACATGGTAGCGCTGAGCTTCAACACCCTGTATCATAGAAGGACGGGGTTTGGCTCCACACCTGCCACTGCTATTGAAATAGTTTAGTCTTGCCCCAGTTCACTGATGAGGAAACTGAGGCCCTAACGGCAGGTGGAGCCGGGTCCCCGACCCCCGAGATCGGCAGGGCGCTG
This sequence comes from Homo sapiens, assembly GCF_000001405.40. NCBI lineage: Eukaryota > Metazoa > Chordata > Mammalia > Primates > Hominidae > Homo > Homo sapiens. The sequence goes on along the minus strand of NC_000001.11, from coordinate 248,858,344 downwards.
AAGACGTCCCTTCCACCCTCCAGCCTCTGGTGCACATGGCTTCCTCCCCGGCGGTGGACGTGTCCTGCAGGCGGCGGGAGAAGCGGCGGCAGCTGGACGCGCGCCGCAGCAAGTGCCGCATCCGCCTGGGCGGCCACATGGAGCAGTGGTGCCTCCTCAAGGAGCGGCTGGGCTTCTCCCTGCACTCGCAGCTCGCCAAGTTCCTGTTGGACCGGTTAGGGGCCGGGAGAAGGGCTTGGGGGAGGGTACCCAGGCAGCAGCCCCTAGCCTCCTCTCCAGGGCCTGTCCTGCTGCTCTTTTCCACCCTCAGGTTTCTCACTTTACCAGGACGGCCTGTGTGACTTGTGGCCTCCGAGGGTCCTGCTCCCCTCCTCATGGTCTCAGCGAATAGCGGCCCTTAGGGCTGGCCCCTTACATGTGTGAGTGCCCAGGGCTGAGGGTGGCTGGCCACCTGAGTCCTGACCTGCCTCTTCTCCTGCTGGCAGGTACACTTCTTCAGGCTGTGTCCTCTGTGCAGGTAGGTAGGGGATGGCAGGGGGTGAGAGCCAGAGGGAAGAGGGACCACAGGGTGACCCAGAAACACCCTCCTTTCAAAGGGAGCCCTGAGTAAGTTTGGGAAGGGTGGGGTGAGTTGGGGAGCACAGGGTAGTTTGATGGAGGCAACCTCTGGGTGGGGAAGGGAGCAATGTCTCAGGATCTAGTGTGTCTAGGTTCTGAAGAATGATAAATTGGACTGGGGCTGAGGTTGCCCTGGGGTTTGAGGGAACAGGGCTCCCTGGGTATGGCTCTCCAGGGTAAGAGGAGGAGACTTCCCAGTTCAGCCTGACTGCTTCCCCCACCCCTCCAGGTCCTGAGCCTTTGCCTCCAAAAGGTCTGCAGTATCTGGTGCTCTTGTCTCATGCCCACAGCCGAGAGTGCAGCCTGGTGCCCGGGCTTCGGGGGCCTGGCGGCCAAGATGGGGGGCTTGTGTGGGAGTGCTCAGCAGGCCATACCTTCTCCTGGGGACCCTCTTTGAGCCCTACACCTTCAGAGGCACCCAAGCCAGCCTCCCTTCCACATACTACTCGGAGAAGTTGGTGTTCCGAGGCCACGAGTGGGCAGGAGCTTGCAGGTAGGCTGGAAAAAAGCAGAGTTATGGAGAAAAGGGAGGAAAAACGTTTCCCATTTTCTGTAGCTCAGAACCCTGTTCTCTAAAAATGATCCTTTTTCAATGGAAAAACTCTATCTTGACAAATATATCATCAAATACACTGTTGGGCATGAAAAGCAAAACAAAATACAGTGTATGGTATGCTATCATTGGTGAAAAATACAAATAAGGGGAAAGTGAATGTGTGTGTGTGTATGTGTAAGTACTTGCGAATGTATGACATATCTCTGGAAGGCACATAGAAAACCAGGTTGCCTATGGGAAGAAGTAGGCGATGGGGGACAGTATTGGAAAGGAGATTTTTGACTGTATAGTTTTGTGAACTATGTGAATATCATCTCTGAAACAGAACAACTCCTCCTACTCAGATAGCCTCTGCTCCCTCCTCCTCCTTCTTAAAAGTCTCTGCCTGGGTGCAGTGGTTCACACCTATAATCCTAGCACTCTGGGAGGCTGAGGCAAGAGGATTGCTTGAGCCCAGGGGTTTGAGACCAGCCTGGGCAACATAGTGAGACCCCGTCTCTATTTAAAAAAAAAAGAGGAGTCTCCCATCACTTCAGACCTTAGAACTTTATGTGTCCTCATCCCTTGAGTCCAGAGTTCCTTCTCTTTTGACTTTGCCTGTCCCACAGATTTGGAATCTGAGCATGATGAGAGGACTCAAGAGGCCAGGTTGCCCAGGTGAGGATGTGGATAGGAGAGAAAAGGCGGAATTGCATAGGTGGGAGGATGAGGGAGCAGGACCTCAGGCTTGCCTTCTTTGGGCCTGCAGGAGGGTGGGACCCCCACCAGAGACCTTCCCACCTCCAGGAGAGGAAGAGGGTGAGGAAGAAGAGGACAATGATGAGGATGAAGAGGAGATGCTCAGTGATGCCAGCTTATGGACCTACAGCTCCTCCCCAGATGAGCAAGTTGGGGTTGAGGGAGAATGAGCAGAGCAAGAGAGGGAGGCAGCTGGCCTGGCAGTTCATGGCTTTGCAGACTAGAGGGAAGGGCTTGTTAGTGTGGAGGGAAGGGTGGGTTTTGGGGAAGGCAAAAAGAACTAGAGGCTTTGAACTGAGGGGGTGAAAAGGGGTGAAGTCAGGTGCAGGGAGATTGAGGGCTGAAAGCAGATATGAATGGGGAGCCTAGGGTGGGGGTAGGGTTGTTTCAAGTTTGAGATCTTTTCAGTTTAGGGGCTAGGGTCGGGCAGGGGATGGCTGACTGCCCAGAAAGTTAATGCCATCTTCCTCTTTGTTCTCCTTTCAGTAGTGAGCCTGATGCCCCCAGACTACTGCCTTCCCCTGTCACCTGCACACCTAAAGAGGGGGAGACACCACCAGCCCCTGCAGCACTCTCCAGTCCTCTTGCTGTGCCGGCCTTGTCAGCATCCTCATTGAGTTCCAGAGCTCCTCCACCTGCAGAAGTCAGGGTGCAGCCACAGCTCAGCAGGACCCCTCAAGCGGCCCAGCAGACTGAGGCCCTGGCCAGGTAACCTGATGGCTGAGACAGAAAGGGCAGGGGCGTCCTGGGATGTGGCCCTCCCTCGAGGCCCTCTGCTCCCTCTTTGCTGCCCGTAGCACTGGGAGTCAGGCCCAGTCTGCTCCAACCCCGGCCTGGGATGAGGACACTGCACAAATTGGCCCCAAGAGAATTAGGTAGGACTTAGGGAGATGGGGTTCTGGGGAGGGCCGAGAGGAGGGAGGCAGAGAAGGGCAGGCAGGAGTCATGCTGCTCCTTTCCATTCTTCTCCTCAGGAAAGCTGCCAAAAGAGAGCTGATGCCTTGTGACTTCCCTGGCTGTGGAAGGATCTTCTCCAACCGGCAGTATTTGAATGTGAGGGGCACAGGTTGGGGCCTGTGTGGCTGCTGGGGTGGGGGAAAGGGCTAAAAGAAAAACTGAGGAAAAGGATCTTAAGGCATGGGAGGATTCAGAACCAGGAAGCAGAGGGTACCTGACATGTATAAAGTCTTTTGGTCCTCACAATATCCCCATAGATTAGGTGCTGCTATTATTCCCACTTTGCAGACAGAAAGGTTAGGCATTGCTCAAGGCTCTTCAGCTAGTGTGTGTTAGTGCTAGGGTTCTGAGCCTGGTGGCCTGGCTTCAGAGTCCATGCCTGGGCTGCCACATATCCTGGCTTGAGAGGGTAGTTCTAGAGTGAAACGGGCTGGGAGATGGTCCTGTCCCCAATCTCATTGCCTGAGAAATTTGAGGCACAGAAGGCAAGGGGTCCAATCCCTACAGTCAACCAGAGCACTTGGCACAGCAGGTACCAAGGCTGGGGAGGGCCACAGACACTGGGATGGTGAGGTGAGGGTAGACAGACAGGGGAGAATGCCGCCCACAGAAGATGACAGAGAGGAATCAAGTGAAAAGGGAAAATGACCCGGGATGACAGGGAAGCTCTAGGCTGAGAAGAGCATTCGGCAGGGCATGTCAGACATTCTGGAGTCTGCTGTGGAGAAGATCAAAGCAGCCCCTGGAAGTTTAACTGTGGAAAAATGGGATTCTAAAGAAGGGGACAGCCCATGCAATTTAGTGAGCCAGGATGCCAACTTAGGTCAGTGAAAAGAGAAATACTTTGATATTTAGGAGTTAAGGTTGAAGAGCCTGTTACCCTTAATAGTGTTCTAGGTTGAGAGTGTGTGTGTGTGTGTTTCCAAAGCAGATTTAGAAGAAAATCATATATATACCCATGGTGAACTATTAAAAAGCAAGCAGTTGGGGAGATACTGTTGTACGTGAATACTGACATCAAGTAGGATGATCATACTTACCCAAACTGCTTTCCCCTCTGCAGCAGATAGTGCATTCATGATTAGGTGAACCAGGGGTGTCACCCAGAGTGATACTTTGTACAGGGAACATTGCAGGACATTGCAGGGTGAGAGTGTGACAAGGAGGTGAGATAATGGAAGTAAAGCACAGAATTGGGTGACAGGAGAGTTGAGTGGTCAGGATGGGATGGGTGTGGTACTCATGGTGTAGGTGAGGACTGAGCCTCAAGGAAACGAGCAGGCCATGACAGGGAGAACTGCTGGGGCACAGGGGCCAGGAAGGGGACAGAGGAGCATGCCTGCCGGGTCAGCTCAGTTCATCTCTCCGTGGAAGGTGGCTATCCTTTTGCCTCTTCTCTCCCTACCACCCACTTCCTTCTCTAGCACCACAAAAAGTACCAGCACATCCACCAGAAGTCTTTCTCCTGCCCAGAGCCAGCCTGTGGGAAGTCTTTCAACTTTAAGAAACACCTGAAGGAGCACATGAAGCTGCACAGTGGTGAGTGGTGGAACTCCACCTTCCTCTGTGGGACCTTTTACCTTCCTTTGTGGGTCCCGTCACCCTGGGCTCTGTGGGTTTCTTCACCTCCCCCTCTACGGGGTCCTGTCACCTCCCGCTCTGTGGGTTTCTTCACCTCCCTCCGAGGGATGACTCTCCCTCATCCTGTATGCCCTGTGTGTTGAGCACCTGCTTGTTTTAAACTGTTTTGGGTACTGGGTACAGCAATGAACAGAGCAGGCAGCGCTAACCCTCTTGAGACATCCACTTTAGTGATACAGGGCTATGAAGAAATGTGGAAGCAAGGGAAAGGAGGAGAGCATAAGGAGGAGTTGCTATTGTAGAAAGAGAAGATGCTTTGAGCAAAGACTTAAGTGAGGAATGGAAACCTGTACCTTACAGACTATGGACAGCGCGTGTGGAAGGGCCCTTAGGTGGTATCTGGGTGACATGTTCCAGGAATAGGGAAGAGGCCAGGAGCTGAGAAAGGAAGAGAAGTCACATAGTTGATGGAGGCCTCTGAGACCATCCACAGGACAGTTTGACATCTGCTTTAAGTGAGATGGGTGCCATCGCAGAGTCTTGAATGGCAGAGGGACATGGCTTTTTAAAAGATCATTGTGGCTGCTGTGTGAACAGGGGGACCTCAGATGAGCAGAACCAGGCACTCAACTGTGAGATGACTGCAGAGATGTGCAAGAGGGCAAGGTGGTGCCTGGATTTGCTGGTAGCAGCTGAGTCAGTGAGGAATGGATGGAGGCCAGTGTGTGTGCAGATGGAGCCAAACGAGCTGCCGTGGGAAGGATGGGTTGGCTGCAGTCGAGTGGGAAGGGAGGAGTTGGGTAACTTGGAGGATTCCAGCCTCAGCAACTGGGCAGAAGGTGATGTGATTTTTCTGAAAACAAGGGAGAAATGGGCTTGGGAAGGGAAATTTGATTTGAGACATGCTAATTAAACATCCAGGAGATGTGAATGTGGAGATCAGGGGAGATGTCAGGCAAAAATATAAATATAAATGTGTGGGTCATGAGCATATGGGTGGTGTTTAGAGCCATGAGGCCAGAGTGTCCCTACATAGAGGAAGTGAGTGTCATGGCACTCTAGCCATCAGAGGGCAGGTCAGGTGAGTAGTGAGGAAGATGAAGAGAGTGGTATTTGAGGAACTGAGTATAGAAAATGCTCCAGGGAGGAAGGGGGGATGATTGCTAGTGCGACAGGCCAAATGTGAGCTGAGAATAGGAGACCAGATGTGGCAGTGGTGAAGCCACCAGATGACAAGATGGAACTGACAAGAGGGGCAGTGGAGCTGTGGGGATAGCCGGAACGGAGTGCATTCAAGGCAGAGTGGAGACAGCAAGTATGGACAACTCTGTTTTGCTGTGAAGATAGGCAGAGAAATGGAGTCCCAGCTGGAAGGCTGTGGGCTCAGGGCATGGAGATGGGAATGATTCCATAGAGAAAGGCTTGCTGCTGATGCTAGAGTGGGGTGGGGGACCTCAAGTGAGAAGGGGTTGGTCTTGAGGGGCACAGTGGAGGGCTGCCGGGGGAACAGTTTGAGCAGTTGTTTATATAGACACAGATGCAAGTTGAATAGTGGATTTGGTGGGCAGAAGATGTGGGTGTTGTAGTTTCTTGGCGACTTTAGAAACAAGAGCACTGCTGAATAAGGCTAGTAGGCTGGGGGTGTTGGAGGCTGGTGGAGAAAGGAGGTGGTGTGAAATGTCTTCTGTATTTCTAGAAAGTTGGAAAAGTGAACTGATGAGGGAAATGCAGACACAGTAGGGCAAGAAGGCGGCCTTAAGACTTGTGGTTTTAGATGAAAAGAGTGGCCAAGAGGCAGATTTTGCCCTTACAGTACACATGTGCAGGCCCGGAACAGACCAAAAGTTGTGTCTATCCTGAGTTGGGCTTTAACCAAGCAAGTACAGTTGACGGAGAGAGGGACAGGAAGATTGGTAGTGTGAATGAAAGAAGGCAACAAAGATGGCTGTGGAAATGTAGCTGAGCGGGGAAGGGGCTCAGAGGGAAGATGGTGGGGCCAGTGGACTGGCCTGGAATCATGGGATTATCATAGCAAGAGGACAAGATTGGAGGCCCTGGCATGAACCAGGATGTTTGAAATCACAATTTCTTTTTTTTCTCCTCCTAACCCACTGTATCTTAGAAGAAATAGCAATTTCTGAAGTGGTGCAGTGCATGGGTGTGACCTGAGACTGGTGGCTGAGGAGGGTGGGCGATGAGGTCAGTGAGGTGAGGGAACAGAGGGCTGGAGTGCTGATTGACAGCAGGAGTAGTGGCTGACAGGAGTAGAGGGGCTGAACCTAGAGTTGTGTGGATGGAGGGGGAGTGATGGGGCCAAAGGAGGAGGCTGCAGGTGTGTGTTTGTGTGGTCTGATGGTGCGGTCTTCAGAGAGGTGGGGATGTTAGAGGTGGTCTAAAGGGCACCATGAGAAGCAAAGACACCTTTTTTACTGTACACCCTGAGGTTTGGTGGGTTAGAGAAACCACAGCAGCCTGTGAGAGCTGCTGCCACACAGTGACCATGGGCAACAGGCAGGTGCTATTGGAACAAGCAGGGAGTGCAGGCTCAGGGAAAAAGAGGAGAGGGGACTGGCTGCCTGCAGACAGGTAGCTCCACAGGGCACCGATAGGGTTTGGGACAGGTGGGATATGCAAGCCTAAATAGGTGGTAGATGATTCCAGGTGCCAGGGTCTGTCCTTGGGCCTTGAGCTTCAATCCTAATTCCCATCGCTGACTCCAAGGTTCTGCTTGGCTGCTGCCCACTGCCTTCAATTCATACATAAGGACCCAGCTCTCCATTCCATGTGTCTCCTTTGAGAAAGAACCAGCCTAGAGGCTGAGGTGGGGTGGTGCACTTCCATCAGGAGTTCATTGGTTTGAGTGGGATTGGCGGGCAGGGGCTGGGGTGGACAATAATGAAGTCTTTTAGCTGGGTTCGTATCTTACTTGGTTGTCATGACCCATCAGGTAAGGGAGGTCCAGACGGGCTCCATGATTTGGATAACAACTAATTAGAACCTGAGCCTCCTGACCTCCAATACGGTGCACTCTGGTGAGGGACAGTGGGTGGGGTGGGCCAAGGAGGGGCCACAGGGTGGGGGCAGATGCTGGAGTGTCCCTCATATGCCTGCAGACACCCGGGACTACATCTGTGAGTTCTGCGCCCGGTCTTTCCGCACTAGCAGCAACCTTGTCATCCACAGACGTATCCACACTGGAGAAAAACCCCTGCAGTGAGTGCTGGGGTGGGGTCTGAGGGCCAGGGGCTAGAAGGGAGGAGGTGGAGTCTGGAAGCTAGGCATATAGGACACCTAGGCAGTGGGGAGCAGGAGGAACCCCCTAGGGAAGTCATGATGGCCTGAGGCCTTGTTCCTTCCCTCTTCTGTCCCTGACTCCAGGTGTGAGATATGCGGGTTTACCTGCCGCCAGAAGGCTTCCCTGAACTGGCACCAGCGCAAGCATGCAGAGACGGTGGCTGCCTTGCGCTTCCCCTGTGAATTCTGCGGCAAGCGCTTTGAGAAGCCAGACAGTGTTGCAGCCCACCGTAGCAAAAGTCACCCAGCCCTGCTTCTAGCCCCTCAAGAGTCACCCAGTGGTCCCCTAGAGCCCTGTCCCAGCATCTCTGCCCCTGGGCCTCTGGGATCCAGCGAGGGGTCCAGGCCCTCTGCATCTCCTCAGGCTCCAACCCTGCTTCCTCAGCAATGAGCTCTCCTCCAGCTTTGGCTTTGGGAAGCCAGACTCCAGGGACTGAAAAGGAGCAACAAGGAGAGGGTCTGCTTGAGAAATGCCAGATGCTTGGTCCCCAGGAACTAAGGCGACAGAGTGCAGGGTGGGGGCAAGACTGGGCTGTAGGGGAGCTGGACTACTTTAGTCTTCCTAAAGGACAAAATAAACAGTATTTTATGCAGGCATGTGTGGGCAGAGCAAGTGTTTTGGCACCTGAGGTGCAGAAATCCTGGATCCCTTTGAAACCATGTACCAGAATGCAGCTTAGGTGCAGGTCCTGTTTCTCTCTCTGCAGGCCCTCACCTCTGACCCTTTCCAGACTCACTTTGACAGTTTGCAGCCCTTTCCTGTGGAGTAAGACACACACCCTTACACTCAAATAGAGCAGGCGGGGATAATCTGGAGACTGCCGGGTCACTCCTGGCCGACTGGCTGGAGCAGAAATAGAGGCATATGATCCTGAGCCATCTTGTACTTGCCATTAACAGAGAAAACCCAATATGTAGGCCTTGAAGTCTTACCTTTTAGTGTGGAATCAAGTGGTCCTCCATGCAAGATCACTGAGCTGCCCTGGGAAGGTACAAGAGACCTTGGAACTGAATGGACCTGTTCTTAGATCACTTCCAAACTCTGGTCAGCAGCCTTAGGTTTGATAAAGGCGGCACTTGGCATCTAGTACTCAAACAACTTTATTTCACTAGCCATGAGCAAAAAGTTGACCGGCTCCAGGGGATTTTCCATCCTGCCCTCTCCCTGCTGGTGGCTCCCATGATTTGGAAATAACCTCATGTTCCACTTGGCAGTGCCTGGCTTTGTGCACCCACATGGTTTTGGCCTGGGTCCCAGTGAAAATGGTCCTCACCTGGCTGGGGAACATGGTTCTGAGAGGCCCCTTGATCTGCCCTGGGGACATGTGTGGCCATGCTAAGGGCCCTGCCCACCTTCACGTGACTGGCCACCTCTGCCAGGGTGCAGGCAGCTCCTAGCATGGAGACATCCTTCATGGAAGTGAGCTTTCCCACCCACCTCCATACCCACATTTCTCAGAAACAGAGTTAACAGGGAACCAAGAGTCAAGAAGCCACAGGGCTGGTAACGTGCCTACAGCCAAATCTGTGACCATTACCTGAAGAGGCAGGACAACAAAAGTAATCAGGAAAGGAGAAGATGTGGGCTGGAATGAGATAGGACAAGAGAAGACAGAATAAAGGCAGGAAAATCAGAAACACCAGAGAGCACAGTAGCATTAAAGGGACACACCAACACCTGGGCTCTTGCACACAGGGGAGTCTAAGGGTTCCCTGACTCCCTGCACCTACACCTGAGGAGAGAATCCGAGTTATACGAGGACAGCATGGCAAAAGGGCCGACAGGGTAGTAGGTGTAGAGGCGAGGCAGGAGGCTACGTGAAGGGCTGCCAACAGAAACTGGAAAGGTAGGAGGCCACATCGTCTTTTCCCAAATCTCCATCTACGAGTTGCCTCAACTGTCCCCGTGATACTATATAGGTGCTTGCCCAACCACCTTTAGAGAAGCCTCAGCAAGCCTCCCTCAACTAGGACACAGAGAACCCTGGCTTTTCCTGTTCAGCCGGCCCCTCAAAGACGAGGGCAGTGCCCACTGCGGACTGGATGGCAACGGCGGCAGCGGTGCGGGCGCGCGTGTGGGCCCGCTGATGCTGTGACAGCGAGCGGCTGTGGCTGAAGCACTTGCCGCACTCTGCGCACTCCGCTGGCCGTTCGCCCAGGTGCGTCTTGCGGTGCAGTGCAAGCTTGGAGGCGACGCTGAAGGCCTTGCTGCACTCGGGGCATTTGTGTGGCTTGTGGCCGGCATGGTTGCGCCGATGCACGTTGAGATTGGACACGCACGTGAACCGCTTGCCGCACAGTTCGCAGCGGTAGGGCTTCTCGCCCGTGTGCGTGCGCCGGTGCTTGGTGAGGTCCGAGCGGTCGCTGAAGCGGCGGCCGCACTCGGGGCACGCGAAGGGCTTCTCGCCCGTGTGGATGCGCTGGTGCACCACCAGGTCGGAGCGCTGCCCGAAACCCTTGCCGCAAGTGGCGCACGCATGTGGCCGCTCGCCCTGATGGCTGCGCCGATGGCGCAGCAGCGTGGAACTCTCGCTGAAGCAGCGTCCACAGTCGCCACATGCGTACGGCTTCTCGCCCGTGTGTGTGCGCTGGTGGCGCACCAGCGTGGCGCTCTCCAGGAAGCCCTTGCCGCACTCCGGGCACTTGAAGGGTTTCTCCCCCGAGTGCGTCTGCAGGTGTCGCGTCAGCGTAGAGCTCTTGCCAAAGCACTTGCCGCACACGCCACACTGGTGGGCGTCTGAGACACGGGGTCGCGTGGGGCTCCGGGACACGTGGATGCGCGCGTGACTCCGCAGCCCGGCGCCGCTTCGGAAGGCTCGCGGGCACTGCGCGCAGCGGTGGGGTGGGGCAGCAGGGTCAGAGGTTGTCCCCAAGGGGTGCGCCCGCGCCTGGTGGAAGAGCAGCGCGCTCTGCCGGAAGGTGCGGGCGCACAGCGGGCAGCGGCGGGGCCGCTCTGGCAGATGCTGGCGGCGCCGGTGTAGCAGCAGCGCCGGGAGGTGCGGGAAGCGCCGGCCGCATGTGCGGCAGGGGCAAGTGCGGCATCGCTGCCGGTGTGCGCCCAAGTGTAGGTCAAGACGGCCGCTGTGGCGGAAGCTTTGTCCGCACTCACTGCAGATGTAGAGGGTCTGGCCAGCATGCGTGCGCCTGTGCGCTCGGAGGTCAGCAGCCCGTGCACAGCGCTCACCGCATTCTAGGCAACGGAAGCGGCCGTCACCGCCGTGAGCTCGTTCATGTCGCAGCAGCACTGAGCTGTAGCAGAAGCTCTTGCCACATTCGCTGCACGAGTAAGGCTTCCCCGCTGCCACTGCCCCAGATGTGGCAAACATGGTGAGGACGGGTTCACAGGGAAGCGTGCCACTCACACTCTGGGGTCCACCTCCTGACGCTGCAGCTAAGTTTTACTTCTCTTAAGGCCTGGAAAGGGCACTGTAACAGAGAGGAAAGGGGGAGGCCGCAAAAACTGGTCTGATTTCAGGGTTCTTCTCTAAGGGGCAGACATTGTGGCTGTTCCAGGGTGAGCTGTGGCCAGGTTCACCCTGCACCGTGAGCCTGTGGGGAGAAGGTCATTGTGAGCCTCTGCAGCAGCTCCTAAGGAATGGAGAGGGGAACACGAACTCCCTATTTGTTATAACTTCTTTAGGTAGTCCATCTCCAGGATTCCCTTCCCCAAGACAAAGCAAAGCCATGGGCATCCCGGAAATAGGGAGGGGGTGTCCTTGAACCACTTGGAAGGGCAGGAGGGAAACTACAAGTGTCCTGGAGAACAAACAGGAATGGATTCAAAGGGGAGCTTGCATTTAGCCTGGGAACCATCAACACTGCTCTGAGGGAAAGGAACGCCAAGCCTGTTCGCTGGCCTTAGATGGGGATCCTTGTCTGGGGATGCATTAGGAAATGACCAAGGCAGGATGGGGCAGTGAGAAGTCCCCTGCGTTTAGACTATACCAACGCCTTCCTCCAAAACCCAGCTTTCCTGAGTCACTGACATGAACCCAGCCAGACTTGGGCTGGAAGAACAAAGCGGGTAATGTGATGAAGCACAAACAGGTCCAGCAGCAACAGCCTAGGCAAAGGGCTCAGACCCTGAAGTTACTGAAGGGGCTGGGGCCTGGCCAAGGGAAGGTATTTGAGAAACCCCAAAATATTGTTCCTTGGCTTTGGACAGCACTTGATAAACACACTACCCCATGCCAGTATACAGCCCCAAAGTTGAGAAAGCAACTCAGGACCCAGTAAAGGGGTAAAAACGGGAGCATAGATAATTCACAAAAAACATTATTAAAAGTTGGTGGCATTATCCAAGAACACTTTTCCCATTTTCAGGAAAGGCTGGGGAGAATCAAGGGGCATCCATTCTATAATAATTGTCAGGATATCCAAGTTGTTTGTGAAGGTTTGAATATGATGAATCTGATCAAGAAAAACATATTGTTTATGAACATTCTGCAGCATTTCCTCACTGTCTCAGCCACAGGAATCTGAGAATCTGGAGTAGCAGAAAAACTCCTTTACGGAGACCAAATCTGCTCTATTATCCTATTTGTCTCACATGATATCCCTGAATTCTTCTGACAGGTTGCTCCGGGCAGCTGTCTGGGAACAGGGTCAGCCTTTGTAGTATGTGCACAGAACCTCACATGCCCTCTAGTCAAGAGCACAATGTGGCTGCCCTCCTCACCTGGCCTCAGCACTGACGACTTCTCTCAGGGGCCACAGGTCAGTCTCCAGCCTTACTGGAGATTAGGTCTAGTTGCTAGTACAGTATAGCCCCTTGTCGCTCAACAGATGCGGGAGAGGACACAAACAAAATGGTCAGCTGTCACTTTCTTCTTAGCAGATGAAAGTTCATCATAAATACTCAGAACTTTGGTTAAAATACCCCCATATACAGGGTCCTTATGTTTTGGATACAAATGGGGTAAAGTGAAAATAGCAAACCTGCAAGTCTGGGCTCTGGAGCTTCTGCTGCCCCACCACGCTGGGCAGGAGTAGCCGCATGGGATGTCCTCCTCTTGTGCCTCTGGAGTAAGATGTGCTGTGCCCAGTAGAGATAAAGTAAAAGGGAAAATGTGAATTACAACTGAGCAGGGGAAGAAAGGGAGGGAAATGTTTTCTGGAGGAGGGTATTTATTTAATGGACATTTTAAAATACGAAAACCTGAACAGTATCATAGATCAGTCACCATTTTACCATTCTTGTTTCATCCACACCCCCACTCCACTTTTTTTTTTGGTGGGGCAAAGCTCTAGAGTATTTTAAATCCCAGACATCTTATACAAAGAGTATGATTAGTATGATTTTTAAACAAAAAATGCAAGCAGGAGCTCTGGAGTAGACTTTCTGACAGTCTCGCCCTGTCGCCCAGGCTAGAGAGCAGTCACTCCATCTCGGCTCACTGCAACCTCTGCCTCTCGGATTCGAGGATTCTCCTTGCCTCAGCCTCCTGAGTACTGGGATTATAGGCACGTGACACTGTGTCTGGCTAATTTTTGTATTTTTAGTAGAGACGGGGTTTCACCATCTTGGCCAGGCTGGTTTTGAACTTCTGACCTCAGGTGATCCACCCGCTTTGGCCTCCCAGAGTGCTGGGATTACAGGCGTGAGCCATCACGCCCAGGCTGGAGTAGACTTTAGAGAGCTCCTTGGTTCCTCCAGAGGGACTTTCGACCCAGACACTGGCTGCTGATTCTAGTTAGATGTCAGGTCAGAGGAATGCTTGCCCTCCTGAAAATAAAAACTTCCTGGAGACTCAGTGGCTGATCCCAAATGCCAAAGAAAGCAATGCTCAGGCCCCACTGAGTGCTCTGCCTCCTCCTCGGGTATCTGGAGACCATGGCACCTCTCAAACCATGTGTCTAGGAGCCCACCCTCTCCCAGGCCACTGCCTCCCAGGGCACATGCCCAAGGAAGGCAAATGCACAAATACCAACGTGTAGACTTAAACGGCATATAAACAACAATACCATTTCCTTCCATTACGGATGCGGAGTAGGACACTCGCTAGGGTACAGGTTTGGCGCTTGAGTCCCAAGGCACGCTCTTCAAGTCTCTCTTCTGTACCTCACCCCATGCTGGAGCTCATCCCACAGGCAAAAGGGTCACGCTTGAAGTGGAAACCTGAAAGAAAAATTATTACTGTGCCAAAAAAAAAGACTGACTTCTAGATCATCCTAATCCCCACTCTCCTGATTGAGTGTGAGTTTTACAGTTGCTATACCACCAAATTTCTTTCACTTTGGAAAAAAAGTACAGGAAAGTTTGGAAAGAGGGAAGGGGGAAATTACGTGTGAATTGGTGAAAATTCTCATTGTTGAATAAAGTATATAAGTACCTTTCAAGCATTTAAAACAAATACTATACATATAACTAAAAAAACCCGAAACAAAACAGGTACTAAGAAGGAAGATAAGCTAATGGAAAAACCAATATCTATAATAGGGGCAAGATAAACTTCTGAGTTTCATATGTCATTTTTTTCCTTAATAATAATTGAAAAGAAAATAATTGAAAATCCTTATTTTCAATCAGAATAAAGATTTTTCTTCCCTGGTTATCTGTTCTGCCACGCCAGCATTTCTGGGGTGGGACAAAAGACCTCAAAAAGTCATGATTCACAAGAAACAAGCGGTCATCTTGAAGTCAGAGTTGGTAAACCTGGTTTGGGCAGCAGGGAATAGGGCTGAGGGGAACTGTTCCCTGCTATGCTGTCTACTACAGTGGCCCAGAGCCACATGTGGTGACTGAGCACTTGAAACATGGCTGGTTCAAACTGAGTTGATTTGTAAGAGCCAAATACTCTCCTCGTTTCAAAGACTTAGTATTAAAAAAGAATGCAAAATACCTCATTAATAATGTTTAGCATTGATTATATGTTGAAATATTTTTGGATATATTAGGTTAAATGAAATATATCACAATATATTTTACCCATTTTTAAAGAAAATTTAAGATTATAAATGTGGCTTATAGTTTATTTTTATTGAATAGTGCTTGTCCAAATGGCCTTTCCAAATCCTGGAACATTTGAAAGGAGGCTGGCCCACCTCAGTCCTTGGAGGGCTTTACCTGAGAAAAGGTCACTGACCCTGTCTGACCTTCAGAGCTTCAGTAAGCACAGAGGAGAGCTGTTCCTCTCATTTTCCAAGGCCCTAGTTCCTAGCTGCCCTCTCCAGAAAAGTCCACCTGCTGTTTTGGAAACTGGACACCTAGACCTGGTAGGGACTTGGGGTTGTGACTTACACAAAACCTTCTCTCACTGCGACTCTCAGAAGGTGAAACCATACATACCAGTTGTTACTGGTATTAACACACAAGAATTCTCACATGTTTGTACATGTGTTTCCCTTTCGTCCTCCCAGTAGTCCTTTGAGGTGGGTGTTATTAGTAACCCCCATGTGATCTGGGCTTCCTATACAGGCTCGTCCAGTCATCCAGCACAAGTGCGCAGGTGGGTCTAGGGACAGGAGTAAGTCAGCAGGCCACGTAGCCCATCTCTCAGTCTCCCTAGGGCAGCCCCGCCCCTTCCTAAAGGCCCCAGGAGGCTTGCAGCAGCTCAGTGAGCAGCAGGGACAGACCTGGCTGTGAAATTCACAGGGAAGCACCAGGCAGCCAGGGGACAAGGGGGTAAAATGCCAACCCCAAGAACCAGCACTTGGCGCCCCAGGGAGTGCTCTGTGTGCGCTGTGTTAATCGTGGGGCCCTGACCCAGGAATGGAATGGTCTCCATGAGAAGAGGGGCAGGAACTGGCAGTGGGAGGGTGGGAGTTGTAGCTGCATCAGGAGAGGTGATTCTTCTGCTGGCTTCTCCTTGTATTCTTACCCCTCAGGATCTGAGTGATGCTGCTGTCTCCAGGATTCTGTGATACCCCTAGACTGCCCTGAAATCCAGATGAGATAGAAGCAAACTATCCATTCCCCACTCTAGATAGGGTGTGGAGTAGAAGTTTCCCTGGCCTTCAGGAGGGAGTTTTGGGGCCTTGCCACTTACAATTCCTTCTACTGGCAAAGCTCTCTCACTCCTTCATTCAAGACTCTCTACCCTTTCTCAGAGAGGCCACCCCTGCCTCCACACCTCCCTCGTACTCATTGCTCAGCTTTATTCTCCCTGATCTCGGGTGCTGTGGCCACTCTGGGCTTCAGCGTGGGCTATCCTGTCTCAAAGGGACAGGATAAACTCCCACTATGTATGTTCTCTCCCTGTTCACATCCATACCTTCTCCACACTCCCCAGATTTCACAGGAAAATCTTTGTGAAACCAAAACTTTCAAAAGAATGTATCTGGATCACGATCAGACTTAGGCACTTGGGGTAGGAGCGAACTGTTATTCCTGTTTCCACCAGCTCCTTAGACATGTCCGACTGAATCTGAAGCTGGAAGGAGCATCTATTAGTCAGTGAATGTAACAGGAAGCAGGGATTCCTCTCCACTCTGGACAGACTTCAGCCCTATTCTAGGAGGTGCGGATGGGGAACGGAATTCAGAGCACCAGAATTGCCCCTCCTTGCTTCCTTCCCCCATAAAGAAACAAAATCCAATACTTCAAAAGAAGTTGCTCCTTCCAGCTTCAGATTCAGTCTCTAGCTAAGGAGCTGGTGGAAATAGGAATGACAGTTTGCTCTCAGCCCAAGTGCTCAAGTCTGATCATGAGCCAACACATTCTTTTTATTTTGGAGGCAGAGTCTCACTCTGTCTCCCAGGCTAAAGTGCAGTGGCGCCATCTCAGTGTGATCTCGGCTCACTGCAACCTCTGCCTCCGAGGTTCAAGCGATTCTTGCGCTTCAGCCTCCCAAGCAGCTGGGATTACAGGCTCGAGCTACCACAGCTAATTTTTGTATTTTTAGCAGACACGGGGTTTTGCCATGTTGCCCAGGCTGGTCTTGAACTCCTGGCCTCAGTTGATCCTCCTGCTTCAGCCTCCCAAAGTGCTGGCATTACAGGTGTGAGCCACCGTGCCGAGCCCAAATATATTCTTTTGAAAGTTTTGGTTTCACAAAGATTTTCCTGTGAAATCTGGGAAGTATAGAGAAGGTATGGATGTAGACAAGGAGAGAACATACATAGTGGGAGCTTGCCCTGTCCTTTTGAGACACAGGCAACAGGATGTAGGCAAGGAGAGAACATACATAGTGGGAGCTTGTCCTGTCCTTCTGAGACACAGGCAACAGGATGTAGACAAGGAGAGAACATACATAGTGGGAGCTTGTCCTGTCCTTCTGAGACACAGGCAACATTGAAGCCCAGAGTGGCCAGAGCCCCCCAGATCAGAGAGAAAGGACTATAAGGTCTTTCACACCTTCCCTGGGCCTAGCAAGGACTTGGGCACACAGAAGATACTCAGTGCTTTTTAAAAGTGATGTATTAGTCTGGAATCCAATTTTCCCAAATGTTAGGTCCCTGGAGGAAAGGGCCTGACTACAGT
This sequence comes from Homo sapiens, assembly GCF_000001405.40. NCBI lineage: Eukaryota > Metazoa > Chordata > Mammalia > Primates > Hominidae > Homo > Homo sapiens. Next base: position 248,841,179 of record NC_000001.11, on the reverse strand, counting down.
CATCATATCCTCCACAGCACTACCCACTGCATACAAATACTCTGACTACAGTCATCGTACCCTCCACAGCACTACCCACTGCACATACAAGTACTCTGACTACAGTCATCATATCCTCCACAGCACTGCCCACTGCACATACAAATACTCTGACTACAGTCATCGTACCCTGAACGGCACTGCCCACTGCACATACAAATACTATGACTACAGTCATCGTACCCTCCACAGCACTACCCACTGCACATACAAATACTCTGACTACAGTCATCATATCCTCCACAGCACTACCCACTGCATATACAAGTACTCTGACTGCAGTCATCATATCCTCCACAGCACTACCCACTGCACATACAAATACTCTGACTACAGTCATCGTACCCTGAACGGCACTGCCCACTGCACATACAAATACTATGACTACAGTCATCGTACCCTCCATGGCACTACCCACTGCATATACAAATACTCTGACTACAGTCATCATATCCTCCACAGCACTACCCACTGCATATACAAGTACTCTGACTGCAGTCATCATATCCTCCACAGCACTATCCACTGCACATACAAATACTCTGACTACAGTCATCATATCCTCCACAGCACTGTGCACTGCACATACAAATATTCTGCTTTGGTTTACTAGTTGAGCCTGCAACCTGTGTAGCAGAACCAGAGAGGCATCCAAATTCTGGTTCCTCCCATTACTAGCTGTCTGATCTTAGACAGTAGACTTGGAATGTCTGATCCTCCTGGATGGGAAAACTTTAGTAAAGAAAGTTGGCCAGGCACGGTGGCTCACGCCTGTAATCCTAGCACTTTGGGAGGCCGGGGTGGGCAGATCACCTGAGGTCAGGAGTTCGAGACCAGCCTGGCCAATATGGTGAAACCCCGTCTCTACTAAAAATACAAAAAAGTAGCCAGGCATGGTGGCACGCGCCTGTAGTATTGGCTAACTCGGGAGGCTGAAGCAGGAGAATCGCTTGAACCCGAGAAGCAGAGGTTGCAGTGAGCCGAGATAGTGCCACTGTACTCCAGCCTGGGCGACAGAGTGAGACTCCATCTCAAAAAAATAAATTAAAAAAAGCTATTATTATAGTGTTTCATATGGAAAGGTCAAAATATTGCTAAATCTTGCCGGGCATGGTGGCTCACGTCTGTAATCCCAGCACTTTGGGAGGCCAAGGCGGGCGGATCACTTGAGGTCAGGAGCTCGAGACCAGCCTGGCCAACACAGTGAAACCCTGTCTCTACGAAAAATACAAAAATCAGCCAGGTGTGGTGGCGCCCGTCTGTAGTCTCAGCTACTGGGAAGGGTGAGGTGGGAGGATCACTTGAGGCCAGGAGGCGGAGGTTGCAGCGAGCCGAGATCGCGCCACTGTACTCCAGCCTGGACGACAGAGCAAGACTCCGTCTCAAAAAAAAAAAAAAAAAAAAAAAATTGCTAACACTGAGAATTGCGGTTGCCCGGTGCTTAGGATTTACTCTGCCTAGGACAGTCCTTCTTGTTGTTGTTGTTTGTTTGTTTTTTGAGACAGGGTCTTGCTGTCACCCAGCTTGGAATGCAGTGATTTGATCACTGTCTCACTGCAGCCTCGCCCTCCTGGACTCAAGCAACCCTCCAGCCTCAGCCTCCTGCGGAGCTGGGACTATGAGCAGGTGCTACCACACCCGGCTAATTATTATTATCATTATTTTTTTTGTAGAGACGAGGGTTCTCACCATGTTGCCCAGGCTGGTCTTGAACTCCCGAGCTCAAGAGAGCCTCCCACTTTGGCCTCCCAAAGTGCTAGGATAACAGGCATGAGCCACTGTGCCCGGCCCTGGGCAGTTCTTAAGAGCGACTCTGAGTAAGGGGCTTAACTCCTGTCTCCACTCCAGGCATCCTAAACGGTCTGCAGCCGTTTTCAGTCCTTCCCCCTCAACCCCTAAGAATCCCTCACATGATTAGAACAGCACAGCATGGGCCTTCCATAGCTCCACTTGCGCGAACTGTGGGCTCCAAGATGAAAGAAGGGAAGCTGGCTACTCATCTGGGGACTTGGTGCCTGGTACTTAAGAGCGAAGCACAACTATTCGCCGAATGCGGAACACGGCACCTGAACAGGTCGCTTTCCGTGGCCCACAGCAGCGCAGCCAATCCTGGGGCGCCTCAGTCGGCGCGCGTCACAAGTTGCTGGGCAAACTTTCTTTGAGCGAGCCCCTTCCCAACCCCGAGCCTACCCTAGCCCCTTGCCCGTGGCGCCAGCCGACTTGGAGGGCGAGACCGGGCACCAAAAACGTAGTGGGGAACGTTTAACGCTGCCAGAACCCGGTGGCGGCCGTTGCCCCCTTAAGTCGGCTCAGCCTGGCGACGTTTGTCGTGGTGACGCCAGCCCCGAAAAGGTCACCCGAGGCGGACCAGCGAGGACAGGCGGAGGGGAAGGCCTGGGAGGAGCAGGCCGCGCGGACGTGTCCGGCCAATCGCTCGCCCCGCAGTATCCCCGCGTCACTCGCAGCCCGGGCGGCGCTCCCGACCGCCGCAGACACCAGTCGCCCGAGGCAGATGGGAGAAGACTAGCCACAGCTGAGGACTGCTGCCCCGAGCCACCCTTGCCCTCCCCTGCCCTTCAGTCCCCTCACCGGTCGCCGACTGCCTCCTCAGACACCGCGCGGTTCCCACTCAGCCGGCTGCCGACCCCCGCCTCCCGGACTGCGGGACTGGGGCGGGGGAGCGAGGAAGGGGCTAACGGCGCGCGCGGCCTCCGAGTGGGGGGAGCGGGGAGGCGCCCGAGCGTCCGGCCCCTCGGGATGGGGAGGTCACGCTCCTGTCCCTCTCGCCCGCGTCGGCTAGTGGTCAGTCTGGCGCGGGCAGTGTCACCGGTTGCTGGGAAGACTGGGAGGCCAGCGAGCAGCGTACCAACCACTCAGCCTCTCCGGCCCCAGCTGGAGCCGGGAAGCAGGCGGGGCTAAAAGAGAAAGCCTGCGGGGGGACTCCACTCCCGCCTCCCGCGCGGGCCAAGGCCCCGCCCTCTCTTCTGGCTTAACCAATTCCTGCCTCCCGCTTTGTCTGTTGGCCCACCCCTGGGCCTCGTCCCGCCCAATCAGAGGAAAGGGCGCCGATCCCTGCGCGCGCCTCAGCCCCCAGCCGCGGAGTCCCGGGAGCTAGGCGGTCCACCGTCTAGTCTTCCAGCAGCTCTTCCCGCGGCCGCTGGCGGGACACAGACAGGTGTACCCTTCGGTGCTTCCGGCGCGGTAGCCGGTGCCCGGCGCGGACGGGGCCGCGGCAGCCATCCCCGTAGTTAAGTTAGCGCCTTCTTATTAAGTGAGGCCAGACTGGATAGCTATTATCTCTCAACCCTCACCACAACCCTGCCAGGGGAAATATGAGCATTTATCCTGTATTTTAGGTAAGGACCCCACAAGTTAATGATACGCCCAAAGTCGCAATGCCAGGGATAGGGGTTACTCCTGGTCGGCTTGCCAGCTGCCTCTCCATGAGCTTCCTGGTTGAACTGCCTGTCCAAATGTTGACCCTAATGTCTTCTACTAGGAAATGCTACTAGTATTCCTTTCCGGAAATGCATTTTGGGAACCTGGCCATCCTTTAGTGTGCCTATATCATCAGAACAGACGCCCAGGGATGGCCCTCAAGGTCCTTTACTGCTGTAATCTTCCTTTGGAGGTCACTTAGTACCACTCTTCTGAGCTCTGCTCAGGGGGTCCCCTAATTAGTGTACTTCGACCTGCCATGCTTGGCCTGGAAAACTCTTACCCTCTTCTCTGTTTTAATTTGTAAAACCTTAGTCAAATGCCATCTCCATAAACCTATGCTAGAATGCCCCTCTCTGTCCTCAGTCCTGGGGACATATCTATGCTGCAGCGCAACCTCCCGCATGTTGATACTGTTGTTATAGTCAGATGAATACTGTTCCCCCATAGCTTAAGGGACAGGCCTTGTCCTACTCATGAACAATTGATCCCTTGAAGCATGAGCAGAGGGCCAGCACGCCACAGATGATCAATGAGTGTTTGCTGACCCGCATATGACAACACGGATTAAGGAAGACAAATCTGGTAGCAGCAGGCAAGAAAGCTGAAAAGCAAGACACAGGATGCAGGTCTGGAGTGATCAGGGCCTGAACCAGGAAGGGATAACATTGAGAGAGACATGGAAAATGCGCTTGAAGTATATATATTTTTATTGTAAAGAATCATACACAGATAAGGTAGTATTATATAGAGAATGATTAGTTGAGGATATTTCCAGAGTCTTTAAGCCAGAGAAATGTACTAATTTAGACATTTCTGGACTCATTGCTCAGTACTGATGTCATGTTTTTAAGGACACTGACACACTTGGCTAATCCCAGAGACATGAAGAGGATGGTGACTAGGGTGGTCACATAATTAAAGGGGCTGGGGATATTTAACCTAGAAAGAGAAACATTTTTTGTGCACATAATGACTGTACACAAATTCTAACAAACTTTCATGTGAAAGAGGACTGGATTAGATGACTTTCTTCTGTGTAGCTTTGGAGGGAAAAACTCAAACAATGGGGGGAAAGAACAGGAAGCTGGATTTAGGTTTCCTATGTTATGGAAGTCATCACAGTGGGGGATGATAATTGTAACAGGAAGATGGAGGGTAGTGAAAGAAAGTTCAAGGATGAAGTTATGTGTATATTTGTCAATTAAAAATATCACATCCAAATGGTTTTATTTCTCTACACATCTACATCAATAAATGACAACTCTTAATGTGGTTCTGTAAATACTCAAAATGTTTATGGAAGGTCTACTATATGCCAGGTAGTATTCTAGACGTTGGAGATAACAGCTGTGAACCTACCAGATGAATCTCCCCAAAGTTCTGATTGTATCACATTCCTGCTCAGTAATAGTCAAAAAAGTCTGTACAATCACCAAATGAAGTTTACTCTTCTGGTGTAATATTCAAGACCCTCTTTCACCTATTCCAACCTGTCTTTCCAGTCTGTTCTCTTAAACTCTCCATTAAACTGGATCACTCCCCACCTACCTTCTACGTTTCTCTCAGCTTGGCATACACTTCTCCTGTTCCTTCACTTTTTCTTGTCTACCAAAGTCCTACTTATCCTTCAGACTTCTGTTCAAACACCAACCCACTCTCAAAGTGAAAACTATCTTCTTTCTGAAGACCACTAGTATTGTTCACCCAGAAATTCCCTAAGTATTTATTATCTTTGCAAGCCACAAGATGCATAAGACACTTACTCTGTTATTTACATCCTTTACCATGTACTTCAAGATAGAGTGTTGCTCTGTCACGCAGGCTGGAGTGCAGTGGCATGATCTCGGCCCACTGAAGCCGCTTCCCAGGTTCAAGTGATTCTTGTGTGTCAGCATCCCAAAGAGCTGGGACTACAGGCACGCACCAACATGCCTGGCTAATTTTTGTAATTTTAGTACACATGGGGTTTCACCATGTTGCTCAGGCTGGTCTTGAACTCCTGGCCTCAAGTGATCTGCTGTGTTCGGCCTCCAAAAGTGCTAGGATTACAGGCAAGAGCCAACATGCCTGGCCACCATGTACTTTAGAATAATGTGCATACTTTATTTCTCCTACTAAATTATAAGCTTGAGGGCAGAGTCAGAGGCTGGATGCACATTTCTGAACACCTGCTATGTGCAAAGAAATGGGCTGAGTATCGGAGACAAAATGGAGACTGAGTCCTTTGAGGACATGCTGAGGGATGGCAACCGCTCCCCCCGCCCACAGACCTTGCCATCCCATCATGTGCAAAGTACAAAGTGGTATAAAGGTACAACAGGAAGAATAGGGTAATTCTGCAATAGGTCATCAGTAAACTTCATTGGCTCAGCATGTAGCCAAGATTTTGTATAGGGATCTGTGGATGGAGGTGACAATGATTTTCACCTCCCACCACACACCCCCAGTGGCAGATTTCTGCAATATAAGTGATGGGACTGGGTCAGGCAGAGGGATTAGATGAACAGGAAGGGAGTGAGCATGCACTCAATCCAGACTGAGTGAGTGGAGGAGGCTCAGAATCCTGTGGAAGATGCTGAGTGGGGTGGGACAGGAATTCAAGAAGGTAGAGTGGGTGAAGGTATTGGAAGAGGAAATGCAAATAAGTTTTGGGCTAAATCAAGGAATTCCTCCTTTTCAGAAGCTTTTATTGAGGACCCACTGAGTCTGCACCTGGCTGGGTAATAGAAATATAGAGATGAATAAATTATGTTCCTTTACAGTATAGAGTCTATCCCATACCCAAGGGTGTAGGCCTCCCTCAGTGAGAAGAGGAGGAGCCATGGTGTATCAGGATTTGTAAAGACTAGGAAGTTAGAGGCGAATACGCGAAGCCGTGGGCGTGGATGACATTTCTAAGAGGCTATAGGTGGATTAGTAGGGGCTGAAGGCACCATACCTAGAGCACCAGCCTCCAAAAGGAAGCAGCTGCAGAAGGGGAAGCCAGTAAAGGCTTTGGGGAGGAAGAAGGTCAGGACACGGTCAGGTTTTAGATTCCCATGTGAGGAAGTGGTGGACAATGTCCAATGCTGAAGTAAGTCAAACAGCATCAAGGTGGTTATGTTTGGCTAGAGGGCACTGTCAGTGGTTTATGAAGTGAGACAGAAAGGAAGGGAAGTAAAAGTTATAGGCATGCAGAGCAGGCACATAGTACATGGCTTACGTTGCTGTTGGGGGCAACTGAAAGGCAAGTAAGTAGGGCTAAGGTATAGACCACTATTTCAAATCCCTGTCTGAAATGTGAGCCCAGTGGATATTCACAATGCCAAAAATCAGATGCTGAAGGCTTACTGTGTTACTGGGGGTATAAGGACTGAGAAGACTGTTTCAATTTCATGAATCTTATTCCTGTATTGCTAAATACAATGTTTGCCATTCTTCAAACATTCTAATTTCAGTTACAATAAAAATATTGGCTTCTAGAGCATGGTAGCTTCCAGTTCTTCCCCGAATAATTCCACAGATGTCAACTGACACAGTTTTCAAATACAGGAAAGAACCAAGTACAGAAAAGTGAAATCTAACAATTTAGAATAATAAGATCTGGAAAGACTGGCTGACTAAATCCTGAAATGAAGATTTTATTTAGTGTTTAAGGAATAAGGGTTTGTATTAATTGCAAGTTGCAAACATATTGTAAAGCCATATCAAAATGGATTTCAGGAAACAAGAAGATAAGCAAAAACATAAATTGAATCAATAACACACATATTAATCTTAATGGCTTGACACAGAGGATTTAATGTCTTTTAAACAGTAATCTTAATAGAAAATTATTGGAGTTTGTGCTGCTTACAGTCTGTGGTCAACTTCAAGGGCTCAAACACGATTCCATCGGAGAGAATGCTACTTTAATTATTTTTACATTTGTACAGGTAAACTAATTGTGAAGAGCTATAGTAAAGTAGATAAAATTGGAATAGCACAAAAGTAGAATATTTGTTTAGAGGATATCTGAAGATCAACTTCCTTTAAAATACAAATTGCTTCCTAGTCCTTAACCACAATTTTTTGAGTTATGTTATATGGAAATTATGTTCAAAATTCACATCTAGGCTCAGTGGTTCACAAAACAAAACACAGAAAATGAGCTTAAAATCATAAAGCAGAACTTTCAGGGGGAAAATCAGTTTCAAAGTAAAATGCAAGGTAGGATAGAATCAGTTTTTATAATTGAAACCACTTTAAAGGTTAAGAACAGTAGTATAGGGGCTGGGCGTGGTGGCTCACGCCTGTAATCCCAGCACTTTGGGAGGCCGAGGCGGGCGGATCACAAGGTCAGGAGATCAAGACCATCCTGGCTAACACGGCGAAACCCCGTCTCTACTAAAAAATACAAAAAATTAGCCGGGCGTGGTGGTGGGCACCTGTAGTTCCAGCTACTTGGGAGGCTGAGGCAGGCAAATGGCATGAACCCGGGAGATGGAGCTTGCAGTGAGCCTAGATCGCGCCACTGCAGTCCAGCCTGGGCGACGGAGCGAGACTCCATCTCAAAAAATAAAAAATAAATAAAATAAAAAAGAACAGTAGTATAAATAATAATGGTATCACATGCAAACCTGTCGGATCTTTAGAAAGCATTTTGATTTTGGTTATTTTCACAAATTAGAGCATTTAAAATGTAAGTAGATACATTTAATATATGATGTGTTGCTATAAATTATTTTTAAAAATCTTAAATACTTTTGTCTGTGTTTAAAGACTGGTTCCACCACTTAGCAGCAGTATGACCTTGGACAAGTTATTTAATCTCCTTGTCTGTCAATTTCTTCAACTGTAAAATGAAGGTACAATTTACTGTAGTTGGTTTTTGTGAGGATCAAATGAATAAACCAGAACAGTGCCAGGTGCAAGGCATACACTGCATAAGTGTTTGCTGTTTTTATTATGACATGTGATGAGCAACTCGGGGAAGTAATTTACCTCTGGAAAACTCAGCAGATTTAACAAGGGTAAAAATAAAGATTTTTAGTAATACAGGTTTAGGGCAAGCGTGGGGGCTCACGTCCGTAATTCTAATGGTTTGGGAGGCTGAGGCAGGAGGACTGTTTGAGGCCAGGAGTTCACAACCAGCCTGAGCAACATAGCAAGACCCAATCTTTACAAAAACAAAAATCAAAACATTATCCAGGCATGGTGGTGAAGGCCTGTAGTCTTTGCTACTTGGGAGGCTGAGGCAAAAGGATTGCTTGCGCCCCGGAGTTTGAGGCTGCAGTGGGCTATTATCAGGCCACTGCACTCCAGCCTGGGTGACTGAACAGGACCCTGTCTCTAAAAAGTTAAATAAACAAATAAGCGTAATACAGGCTGTCCCTTCCATTAACATTTATTAGTAGATTTTACATTATATATTTCTGGGAGCAAGTTTTCAACTGGATTTTTAAAAAAGTTTTAGGGAGGTATAATTGATACACAAATTACACACTGAAATGTACAGTTTGAAAAGCTCTGACATATATATACCCGCATGAAAGCCTCACTACAATCAAGATGGAGAACATATCCACTACCCACAAGCTGCTTCATGCCACTTTGTAATCTCTACCACCTCCCCACCAGGCAACCACTGATCTGCTTTCTATTACTATATATTTGTCAACTAATATGTTTAATCAGCAATTAATGGTGGTATTTATTAAATATATAACTGATAGTAGAAAAAAGTTAAGAACTATAAAAAGGTAGCTTATGTTGGTAGACAAAAAAAACCTAAAAAAGGTAATTTTTAATGATGGAGGCAATTTAGGGTACTTATGTGAGAAAATTAGAAATAAAAGTTACAAGTAAAAATTTATGAAAAAATTATTTAACTAAGAAGTAAAGTTGATTTGTGATATTACATAGTAATTGACAGTGTTGCTAACATCTTTATATGGCTTTCATATTTTTACATTTCACTCATAAAGTCAGTCTATAGGGATTGGTTGGTTGTTTATTAGTGCCAGGAACTAGGAGGGATCCTTGTGGCAGGATCCATATGTGGCTATTTAAACCTGCTCAAGAGCTACACATGACTAGTAGCTACCATATTGGACAGTGCAAATATAGTAACTTCCATCATTGCTTAAGTGCTACTTTAAGCGCTGATTTAGAAGACTTCTGAGGTATGTGATCTATGATGGAAATGAGGAGAGTCTAAGCTGAAGCTATGGCAATGAGATGAACAGAAGGCATCTCTCTGAGATACTTAGTGTGATGAAAAGCAATGTGGGGGGTGCCTTCTAGGTTTTTCCGTAGGGTAAAGAGGTGGACTGTAGAACCGCTTACCAGCATTGAATGTCAGAAGAGCAGGATTTGGCAAAGGGGATGAAATCAGATTTGGATCCATGAGAGAGGGGCAACTCTGGGACAGGCCAGCGGTATCTCAAAGGCTGAAGGATCTCAGAATGTGATCTGCGGAAAGTCTGTGAAGACAGAGCTCTAAGGAAGGAACAGTAGCCATGGGTAAGGACTACAGCCATGCACTAGGGTAAGGACACTCAGGGAAAGTAGGCAGCATGAGATGGTCAGAAGCTAACATCAGGGCCTGGGGTACAGTAACATTTAGGACAGGGTTTTCAAACTGTGAATAGGTAATGAAATCAACAAGAGATCTCCACCAGCATTTAAAAATAGTATAAAAATATTAATGTGCTTTACATATAATTTGGGTAAAGATCTTTTCCTGTACCTTTTTTTTTTTTTTTTTTTTTTTAGTATTTATTGATCATTCTTGGGTGTTTCTCAGAGAGGGGGATTTGGCAGCGTCATAGGACAATAGTGGAGGGAAGGTCAGCAGATAAACATGTGAACAAAGGTCTCTGGTTTTCCTAGGCAGAGGGCCGCCTTCCGCAGTGTTTGTGTCCCTGGGTACTTGAGATTAGGGAGTGGTGATGACTCTTAAGGAGCCTGCTGCCTTCAAGCATCTGTTTAACAAAGCACATCTTGCACAGCCCTTAATCCATTTAACCCTTAGTGGCCACAGCACATGTTTCAGAGAGCACGGGGTTGGGGGTAAGATTAACAGCATCCCAAGGCAGAAGAATTTTTCCTAGTACAGAACAAAATGGAGTCTCCTATGTCTACTTCTTTCTACACAGAGACAATAACAATCTGATCTTTCTTTTCCCCACATTTCCCCCTTTTCTATTCGACAAAACCGCCATTGTCATCATGGCCCGTTCTCAATGAGCTGTTGGGTACACCTCCCAGATGGGGTGGCGGCCGGGCAGAGGGGCTCCTCACTTCCCAGACGGGGCGGCTGCCGGGCAGAGGGGCCCCCCACCTCCCAGACGGGGTGGCGGCTGGGCAGAGGGGCTCCTCACTTCCCAGACGGGGCGGCGGCCGGGCGGAGGGGCTCCTCACTTCTCAGACAGGGCATTCGGTCAGAGATGCTCCTCACACCCCAGACGGGGCGGTGGGGCAGAGGCGCTCCCCACATCCCAGACGATGGGCGGCCGGGCAGAGACGCTCCTCACTTCCTAGACGGGATGGCGGCCGGGCAGAGGCTGCAATCTTGGCACTTTGGGAGGCCAAGGCAGGCGGCTGGGAGGTGGAGGTTGTAGCCAGCCGAGATCACGCCACTGCACTCCAGCCTGGGCAACATTGAGCACTGAGTAAGCAACACTCCGTCTGCAATCCCGGCACCTCGGGAGGCCGAGGCTGGCGGATCACTCGCGGTCAGGAGCTGGAGACCAGCCGGGCCAACACGGCGAAACCCCGTCTCCACCAAAAAATACGAAAACCAGTCAGGCGTGGCGGCGCGCGCCTGCAATCGCAGGCACTCGGCAGGCTGAGGCAAGAGAATCAGGCAGGGAGGTTGCAGTGAGCCGAGATGGCAGCAGTACAGTCCAGCTTCGGCTCGGCATCAGAGGGAGAGCTCGGCATCAGAGGGAGACCGTGCAGGGGAGAGGGGAGAGGAGAGAGGGGAGAGGGGAGAGGGGAGAGGGGAGAGGGGAGAGGGGAGAGGTCCTGTACCTTTTTAATGAATATATTTACACACATATATGTATACTGGGTTGCAAGGTAAAACATATATCTGAGTTGTCTTCCAATTAGTTTGAATCTCACCAGTTTATAAAATGAGCACCATCGGCTGGGCGTGGTGGCTCACACTTGTAATCCCAGCACTTTAGGAGGCTGAGGCAGGTGGATCACTTGAGGTCAGGAGTTGGAGACCGGCCTCACCAACATGGTGAAACCCTGTCTATACTAAAAATACAAAAAAATTAGCTGGGCGTGGTGGCATGTGCCTGTAGTCTCAGCTGCTCAGGAGGCTAAGGCAGGAGAATCACTTGAACCTGGGAGGCGGAGGTTGCAGTGAACTGAGATCGTGCCATTGCACTCCAGCCTGGCGACAGCGTGAGACTCCATCTCAAATAAATAAGTAAAAATAAGTAAATAAATAAATAAACAAAAATAAAATAAAATGAGCACCATAGACTATCACCTACATGGGAAGTGAGATAGTGTCCTTTTTCTCATCATTGCCTGAAATTCTGGCACGTAATAGGCACTCCGTAAAGACATATTGCATAAAGGAATGAATCAACAAGCCAGAGAAGAGGAAACCCAGTACCAGGGTGACTCAGAAGCTAAATGATAAGAAAAAAGAGAGAAATAACCCAGTGTCAGATGTCAGTGATGTGGCAATATTGAGAGCATGGATGACCTTATCTTTGTAATTCCTATGAATTGGCAGCATCCGGAGCCAGACTGTAGGGGTGAATGGGAAGGGAGGAAGTGGAGAAAAGACAAATGATAGTGGAGACTGAGAGGCTGTTTGTTTTGTATTGAAGATGTGAAAGTTCAGTATGTATTCTGGAGAAATTATATAGAAAAGGCAGGTTCTAAAAACGTGCTGTCCAGGAAAGGAGAAACTAGCTACACAGAGCTATTTAAATTAAAATAAAAAATACAACTTCTTAATCACAGTAGCTCCATTTCAAGTTCTAAATGGCCACATGTGTCTACAGACTACCATACTGTGCAGAGCTGATTAACATTTCCTTCTTTGCAGAAAGGTCTTTCAGACAGTGCTGCTGTAGACAAAAGTTTTAATTCATCATGTTTGTGCTGGCTTCAATAAACAAGTTCAGGTTAAATCAATGCACAGCATCGCCCAATCTCTTCCTACCCAAAACATTATCCAAACCCAGCAGAAAAACTATTGTGGGATTATATCACAATCTATACATGATAGATTCACATGTGGTCTCAGTGGGTGAGAGTTAACCTTGGAAGAGGCCAGTGGAGACTTTAAAGGAGCTGCTAAATCTCAGGATGTGATCTAGGGGTCTGGCCATTATATGTATTCATAATGTTTTCCCACCAAAGATCTGTGACACGTAGCAGCAGTTTGTGATTGCTAAGCATTACACAGAGAAAAGGAGCTATGGGATGGGGTATAAGAATGACAGGTATTGGAGCAGTGCTGAATAAGAAAGGTTAGATAATTCAGGCTAGGGTAGACAGAACATCCTGGGTAAAATGAGGTTATTACAGTGAAATTCTAGTTCTACAAAAGTAAAGTGACTGGTAGACAACAAATAAATCATGTTTATCACCTTATATTTAATTTTTATGGTTTTTGTATGGCACCTTAATAATAAAAAGGACTGTGGTAGAAGACTGAGGCATTATTATCCATCAAAGCTGTCCACTTAGACAATGTTACTCAAGGTCCTGCTGACTTATTGAAATTAGAAAAATCACTTTTGTAATTTTAAAAACAAAACCTCCAATTTAATGGAAAAATCTGTTTTCAATCACCTCTTTTAAAGGAATATATTTTGCTCTGCTCAATTTAAAAAAATCGTTATTCATGGGATGAAGGGATAGAAGAAATGGACTGAGAACTGTAGAACTCTTGGCACATGACTCCATCCAAACCTCTGAGTTACTAAGAGACAAACTTTAGCATGCCTTCTAGCAGTGTCAGATCATGTCCCTAGGAGAACCCCAGCTCCCCCATGAAAATGCCTGCCTGAGAAAGCTCAATGCTACCAGGAGAATTTACTATTTGTTCTAGCCAACACCTGATGATAGGCTCCTGACCTCCCTTTCTCAGGGCGTTTATTAAGGGCTTACCATTATGAATCCTTCCTTCTTCTCTTTAAGGTGTTTATGCGTCTGCTACAACTCAAGAGGTCCTTCTAAAGGACCTGAGAGCCATTCCTTTGAAATTGATCGTCAAGAAGGGCAGAGCCTCTACCTCCCAATCTCAGTGCAAGAATAGCAAGCTAGGCTGGGCGTGGTGGCTCACGCCTCTAATCCTAGCACTTTGGGATGCCCAGGCGGGTGGATCACCTGAGGTCAGGAGTTCGAGACCAGCCTGGCCAACGTGGCGAAACCCCGTCTCTACTAAAAATAGAAAAATTAGCCAGATGTGTTGGCATGCACCTGTAATCCCAGCTACTCGGGAGGCTGAGGCAGGAGAATCTCTTGTACTCGGGGGTGGGGGTGGGGCGGAGGTTGCAGTGAGCCAAGATCGCGCCATTGCACTCCAGCCTGGGCAACAAGAGTTAAACTCCGTCTCAAAATAAATAAATACATAAAAAAGCACTCTAACTTCTATAGCTGCTAGCTAGCAGACACATCTGGCCGAATCGCATCTATGCCAATCAAATCTGTAATTTTTCACTTCTCCAACACTATTGAGCCCTGATCACCTTCCTTCCTTCATTCTCCCTTTGAAATGCCCAGTCACTTCTGTACAAATCGGAACAGAGGTCAGTTCTTTTCCTTTCTGTAAGTAGTTACTGAAAAAAGTCTTTTTCACTGCTTCAATGTCTAGCTGGGTTGTCTTTGACAGGATCCAAAAAGGAGGGGAATTCAGCCCATTTGCCTTTTCCATCTGCAGGGCAAAGTTTTGAGTTGACTCTGAGGAAGTTACGCCTTTTGTAAAAACAAAACATCCAACCCTGAATGAAGCCCTTCCCCTTAGGCCTAGGCCCTCCCCTCACCAAGCGACACCTAGAGGTGACAAGCAGGCGCTCGCTCAGGGACCTAGGTAACGATACACAATGCCATGTAACAAACTCCTGCTCATCGAGGGCATCTGACCCTGGGTGCACGAGTGAATTAACTGAGTTAATGTTGACTAAGTTCCTGGTTAGTATTCACGGAGCAATTGGTGACCCCACCAAAACGTCGTTCAAGGTGCAAGGTCCAGAGGCCTCGAGGAGTGGGATTTACACATCGGAGCCGTCCGCTCAGACGCCGTTAGTGGAGGGTTCCGCCGACTTCACGGGAGTGAGGAAAGTCACTTTTGGAAATCGACTTTGCCTTCGCCCGCGAAGCCCGCCAGCGTCCGGACTCGAGTTGCCCCCGGAGCCACTGCCGGAAGTTTACCAGCTCACTTTCGGCGTCGCGCCCGCCTCCGTGGAGCAGGCCGGAAGTGGCTTTCCGGCAGCCGCCGCCGCAGCTCCGTAAAGCAAGATGGCACTACTCACTCTGAGGCTATTATCTCCGTTTTATATCTAGTATTCCTCTTCTCACCAGTTACTCTCGATTTCCGTCCCGCGCCCTAATTTTCTTCAGCACCACATTCTCATGTTTTTCTTTCATTCAGCCTTGGTGGAGTATGGTCTGGAGGCAACCTACGGCTAGCCTGAGCAACGTGGGGCACCATTTTGTACGGAAACTGAAGGCAGGGCGGGGGAGTGTGAGGCCTCCCGAGGAGGCCCGGCTTGAGAGAGAGCGTGGGAGGGAGAGCGTTGTTCACCGATGATGTATTTCCGCTTCTGGTCTGCCTGGTCGTTTTTGGTTGGATCGGCTTGTTGCGGGGAGGGAGGGGGGGAGATTGTTTGCAGCATAGAAGCTCCGCGGACGGGAAGGTAAACTGAGGTAAGGCTGTGCGGGGGGCTTTTGCGCATGGCTGGGTAGAATGGACGGGAGTAGGGTCCTTGGGATTGCGGAAGAGTGTGGAATTGGAGACGGGAGGCTTAGATGTCTCGGGTTGGACAGAGAAGGTGGGGTGGGGCTCGGGGTTACAAGGTGAATCGCAAAGCCGGGCTGGGGTGGAGTGGGACGAGCGGGAGACCACAGGAGATGGAGGAGAGCCTAGGGGTGCAGAGGAAAGTCTCGAAGGCGCTGGTTGAGGAGGGCCTGGGTCGAGAGGAGCTGGGACGGGGGAAGAGTAGAATCTAAAGTCCTTGAGGGCTAAGGAGAGAAGTTGAGGTAGGGACTGGTCGGAATACATGGGTGGGGGCGTGGTGAGAGTGTAGTTTTTGGGAGGCTGTAGAGTTGGAAGGGGCTGGTGGCTGCGGTTTTGATGCTGACATGACCATATACTTGGCCTTTGTTTCTCTGCAGCTCCCCAGAGACGCTCATCCTACAGCCTCAGCTCGGGCCCAGCCTTCTCTCTCCAGCTGCCACCACAGCCTGGAGGCGCCTGCCTCCACCCTCCCGAATGGTGCTCCTCCTAGCAGGCCTCGGTCCAGGATCCAAGCCCCCTTTGCCCCCTGCCTTGGAGCTGTTGCTCCGGGTTTGTCACAGTGGACTCCCTGTGGCGGGAAGGGAAGAACTTTTGCACAGACAAGGCTTCAGCTCTAGGAACCCCACTGACAACTTGAATCTCAACCTCTAACCTAGTGTGAGGTTCTTCCTGTGCCCACCTTTTCTGCCTTTTGAGAAGAGAAACTCTTCTCCTGGCCATCTAGAGCCCAGGAAGCCCCAAGCTGGGGCCCTGGTCCCAGCATGTCAGTCCTCTCTTGTGCATAGGGCTCTGCCCTCCCCCTGTCAGCATGGCTGAGCTCAGACAGGTTCCAGGAGGGCGGGAGACCCCACAGGGGGAGCTGCGGCCTGAAGTTGTAGAGGATGAAGTCCCTAGGAGCCCAGTCGCAGAAGAGCCTGGAGGAGGTGGAAGCAGCAGCAGTGAGGCCAAATTGTCCCCAAGAGAGGAGGAAGAACTGGATCCTAGAATACAGGTGAGAGCACTGAGAGCAGGGAGAGAAGGAGAGCCCAGATTCCAGCCTCCCTGAAGAGTGTTGGATGAATGAGGGCTTAGACTTACTCTGTCCCCAGTCTGCTGGGGCAGGAAAGGAGAACAAGTTTGTCAACAAATCATTGCAGGGTAATGTAACAAGTTCCAAAAGAGTTGTGTGTCTGAAGTGCTGATGGAGTGCAGAGAAAGGCCTGGCCTTAGTGCTTGGGAGGCATTGCTGAAAGCTTCACTGAAGGAGCAAAGTGTCACTTGGCAGTAGATGGAGGAGGCACACTTTAGGTCAGTGGAGGGTAGGTGTGTTGTACTTCTTTCCAGATAAGCAGAGGGGCTGCCACCTTAGTTAGGGATGCTGTGTGAGAGGAGATGACTTTGATACTGGGGGACAGTTTTGAGGCTGAGTGAGAGAATCTTTTCCCCTTTCTCACCTTCTCAGCGGTACCTTCCAGGGATGTGCGGCCCACATTGCTCTGATAATGTGTTTCACCCTTGTAAACAGTGAGACCTTTCCAGTGTTATAAAGGTAGCATCAACTTTAGATCTATAAAGAAACCCCATATGTTCAAGGATTTGTAACTTTTGTTGTGGCCAATCCTTAGTAACATACATACCTGGCCCTCAGGATAGTGGGTCTCCTAAAGGAATGGAAGAGCAGTTTATTGCCTTGGAGTGTCTACAATCTAGTTGGTAGGACAGGCAGATCTTTGTGTAGGAGACCTGGGGGTAGTCAGTGAGGAAGACCAACTCCATGTGGAAGAGATGCCTGGCCAATCAAAGCTGGGTTGCAGTGTTTCAGGGAATTGGCTGAGAATGACTTCCTGAGGAAGCTTCTTGGGCAGGTGACGACCAGGATGCTCCTGCATGTTTGGGGCTTGAGTCTGCCATTTGTTCCGGTCACATCTCCAAGACTCTGATGTTGTGGAAGTGACTCTTCTGTAGGTGAGCAAGAACATATGAAGGCTCAAATTCCTAGGCTTATCTGTCAGCAAACCTTTATTGGATTACTCCAGTGAGTTGGGAAGAAATCAAAGCCAGTCCTGGCATTCTTCCTTCACTCTCTGTGTGGGTTCCTGGGATATGTGTGTGTGTGTGGGTTCCTCTTCTACTGTGTCCATGCTTATAATGGAGCAGTGGTGAGCCATTTGTTTCTGGCATGAGTCAGTAATTTATTTCTGCTCTGCCTGACATTGCATTGAAAACAGCCAATTTTTCTTGCTATTTCTACAGATTTATCATCCTCTGAGGAAATCAGTTGTAGTGAAAAAAGTCTTGGGCTGAGTTTCACGCTACCTCCAACCCCATGATTTATGATTTTTATGGAAGTTTCTTTACGTTTCTGAGCCTCAGTTTCTTCATCTGTAAAGTGAGCAGTTGGTCTAGCTGATTTGCACAACTCATTCTTGCTCTGCTCTGACACAAGTCTACAGTTCTTTCTCAAACTCTTTTTGCTTGTTCCTTGGTGATAGTTTGTAGATAGCACTTTGGGAAAGAGCTGTCTCTCTGTTGCTTGTGGAGGAGGGCTGTGTAATGTGCATTATATGCCTCCCTACAGCCTTCCTTGCCCTGCTCCAGAGAAGGCTTCTGCAGAGGAGAATCCACTGTGGTCTCTTTACTTGGCCTCTACTACTCCTATGTATTTTTCCAGTGTCTGCATAGGCACATGGTAGTAGTAGGAAGAGTCATGCTTGCATTGTGCTGTCTAATAGGGTGGACTAGCTGCATGTGGCTATTTAAACACAATCAATTAAAATTAACATGTAAAAATGCAGTTCCTCGGCCAGGCATGGTGGCTCACACCTGTAATCCCAGCATGTTGGGAGGCCGAGGCAGGTGGATCACCTGAGGTCAGGAGTTTGAGACCAGCCTGGCCAACATGGTGAAAACCCGTCTCTACTAAAAATAAAAAAAGCTAGCCAGGTGTTGTGGCGGGTGCCTGTAATCCCAGCTACTTGGGGGGTTGAGGCAGGAGAATTGCTTGAACCCAGGAGGCGGAGGTTGCAGTGAGCTGAGATCTGCCACTGCACTCTAGCCTGGGTGACAAGAGCGAAACTCCGTCTCAGAAAAAAAAAAAAAAGCAGTTCCTCAATGTTATACTGACAGTGCATAAATAGAATATTCTGTCATCACTGACTCTTCTATCAGATGAGCTCTATGAGAGTTGGAGTACACTGAGGTAGCGTAAGACTTACTTTGCCTCCAGTGAACTTGTGATGTCGCTGGTGCAGGAAAGGTAAAGCAGACCCTCGTCTCTCTTGCTAAACTGCACAACACGTTGTGGAATGTTGTGGGTTGTATAGGGAGGAAAGGTCTAGTAATAGCTTCCCTCATTTGATGACACAGGTGTGGGTACGCCAGTGCTCTGACCTCAGCAGGGAGTCAGTGTCTTCTTGCTGTGTGAGAGAGGCAGCCTGGCTTGAGGGGCACCCTTCACGGAGGAGGCCGGTGGCATTTTGCCCTTCTGTGCTTGGGCTTTCAAGATGAGGAGGAGATTGGGGTGTTTGTCTTTCGAGGTCCCTTTGAGTGTTGACAGTTCACTAGACCATGCACATTGCTCTGATCATGTGTTTCAGTGCTTTAGGTGGGTGTTCATTTCTCTGGATTCTCAGTGCATTTACTGGGTTTCCATCCACCGTCCATAAAAAGCCACCAGGGAGCTTCAAAAATACCCTTACCTGAGCCTTTCCAGACATGTGGATTCTCTTAGTCTGGGTGGGGTGAGAAGGGATTCTGATGTTACAGTCAGAGCCAAATCCACTGGGCCAGGTATATCCCAAAGGTAGAGCGCCTGTTTCGGTATTTTCTGAGGCTCCCGGAAATGGCTGTCCTTCGGATGAGGCCCTGTCTGACCTGGGGCTGGGGCTCCTTTGCAGGCAGGCAGCTCCATGGCCATTTATGGTGGGATTCCTCTGGAAGTTAGAAGGAAGTCAGCTGGTGCCTACCTGGAGCGTGCTGTCCCTCCAGGGAAGGCTGCTGGCTGTGTCTCCTTGTCATGATCTTAGTGGAGTTCTTTTGAGTCCTCCAGGCTCATCCTCAGCTTTCCGAGAGGGTTCCAGTGGAGGGAAGAGGAAAGGAGCGTGGATCTAGGATGGACCTGGGTCTGTTCTGTGACTTTCTCAGCCCCCTCTTAGTGGTTGCATTCTTTCCTCAGATGTGAGTGCTCTCGTTTACCTGCTCCTTTCCAAACTCTCTAGGGTGACTTTGCAACCTCTGTGACCTCATCTAGAAGTATGGGTTTAGCTTTCACAGGACAGTCATCACCCTGGCCCCAGTTACCATTAGTTTGAGTCTTTTGATGGTCTGCACTAGGTGGGGTGGGAGCATCTGCAGCCTGAGTCCCCATGCCTTTGATTCAGTGTCCTGGCATCCTGGGAATCTGACTGCTGTGCCCTGGGAAGGTCACCCTCCCTGCTGGCTGCTGGCTCACTGATGGATGATGCACGTTGATTCAGACTTTGTCCTCCCCAAATTCCGTTTCAGCTGAGTGCCAGGAGTCCCTGGTGAAGCAGGCCAAATGGAATGTGTTGCTGACTGCCCAAAACTGTCCCAGGTCCTCAGTGGATTCCTGCTCAGCCTTTCCCTGGGTGTCGCCTAGGTGGGCTATCCCCCTCCCTCCTGTGGTGACCTTGCCCTCCAGGCTGCTTTGCTCCCCAGGCATCTTCTTGTCCTGTTAGGGAGAGCTTTGTGACTCTGAGGGGACAGATCCCATCAGCAGATGGCTTTCTGTAAATTGCTGGAGGTGCCACTGGGAAGCTAGTTCCCATATAGAAAGATAATGCCCACTCCTGCCACTTGCCAATAGCAACAGCTCTTCTTGTCCTTTTAACAGTAGTAACAACTTATGCTGAGCCATCCAATCCATTGATGATCTTGTCAGGAGCTGGAAGTTGATGACTGGAAGCATTTGAGGCCATGGAATCCAGTGGGGATCCCGTCTTGGACTTTGATTTGCCACATGAACATTGCAGGGTGGCCTTTACCAACTGACCCCCCACAATCAATGTTTGTTGCATTTCCAATCCCTGTCCTTTTCCTACGTGGGCTGTGGTTTTCCTAGATTACAGCACTTCTTTCTTTACTGAGATGTCCTTCCAGTGGTGTCCTCATTCCCAGGAGGGTGGTCACAGTGGAAGGAAAGTGAGATCAAAGGTCGGTCCTGGATCCAGACCCAAGTCTGTCACTAATTTTCCGCCTGGTTGTTTCTCATCTATCAAATGCAAAGTTGCTGAGAAAGAATATTCCAGCAGGAGGTGCTGAAAGAACTGGTCACTCGTCTCCCAGATAGCCTAAAAGCCCCTGTAGGCCTCGTCAAGCCCCAGGAAGCTGGGCCCCCAGGGAGGTAGGTTGCCTTTCAGCTTGACAGACATTGCCTTTTTAGGGCCTGTTGGGGTGATCGTGTCAGTTGCTGGTGATGTCTCTGTTCGGAAGGCACTGTGAAACTTGGAGTTCCATGTGTCTGGTAGTGTTGATGCTGACCCTATGCCTCCTCTGGGGCCCTGAGCTGTGTTGGCTGCCTGTTCTTCCAGAATGGTTGTTATTTTATGGACACTGGGTTGTGGGACACTGTAGATGCATCTACCCAAATACAACAACTTCTAGACCTTCGCCACCCAACACAGGAGCCACATGCCACTGTCTAGGTTGAGATGTGTCACAAGAGTCAAGTGCATACGGATTGTGAAGACTTAGTTTAAAAAAGTAAAAGTATGGATAATAATATTATTTTATGTTGATCACATGTTGAAATATATTTTGTATATATTGGGTTAAATGTATTTTTATAATTTCACTCTTTTTTTAAATTTTTTTACTTTTAAAAAATGTGGCTTCTAGAATTAAAAATTCCATGTGCAGCTCCTGTTACGTTTCTGTTGAATAAGTCTCTTCGAGAAAATTTAGAGCAAGCTTTTCCAACCCGTGGCCTGTGGGCCGCATGCAGCCCAGGATGGCTTTGAACACGGCCCAATGCAAATTTGTAAACTTTTCTTAAAACATTATGAGATTTTTTTTTGTGATTTTTTTTTTTTTTTTTTTTTTTTGAGACTGAGTCTTGCTCCTTCACCCAGGCTGGAGTGCAGTGGCACAATCTCAGACCACTGCAACTTCCGCCTCCCAGATTCAGGTGATTCTCCTGCCTCAGCCGTCCCAGTAGCTGGGACTACAGGTGTGTGCCACCATACCCAGCTATTTTTTTGTATTTTAGTAGAGATGGGCTTTGCATCATGTTGCCCAGGCTGTTCTCAAACTCCTGAGCTCAGGCAATCTTCCCACCTCGGCCTCCTGAAGTGCTAGGATTACAGGTGTGAGCCACTGCGCCTGCCCACGATTTTTTTTTTTTTTTTTAAGCTCATCAGCTGTAGTTAGTGTTAGTGTATTTTATGTGTGGCCCAGGACAGTTCTTCTTCCAGTGTGTCCCAGGGAAGCAAAAAGATTGGACATCCCTAGTTTAGAGCCAGATTTGTGGCCCTCCTTAGGCAGGGTCTACACTGTTGTAGGTAGGTGTGTGCATTTTCATATCCTCATTCCTCGTTCCATTACAGGTTTCTACCTTTGTGTTCTTCCTGTTACTGTAATTAACATGTCAAACCATTTCCTGTATTCTTACCTGCTGACCCAGATCTTTTCAGGATCAAGGCAGGGGATGGGGGGAGGATAGAAGAGGTAGAAGGGACTAAAAGGAAGATTGTGCATGTCAGCCTGACTCCCTCACTGGGTTGCTGAAAGGCCCGAATGAGGTGAGTGGGGGCCAACATCACGGCCATATGAGTGGGAAGTGATTGTGGTGTCACTGCCAAGTGCAAGTCATGGGTCTGGGCAGCAGGCACATGCTGGGCTGGGTCTCTCTGGCCTGTCCAGCCTCCTGTCCAGAGACAGCAGGGGCTGGTGAAGGCAAATCCTATAGCTAGGCACCAGGTATTTCCTGGCACAAGGCCCTTGGCACAGACCAGCACTGCTCCTCAGTAGTGTCCTTAGCTCACCAGGGGCTCTGGGAACTTTTGTGTTTTCTCGGGCAAGGGAGGATGACTTGAGGCCAGTACCCCTCTCAGCTCTCTTCCATTTCATGGAAAGCCCTGGATGGTTCTATTGCTTCTCTCTCCAGTCCTTCCAGGGGCCAGGAAGGCACTCAAACCAGCTTGTCCAGCAACTTTTCCCCAGGACTCTCCCTCCCTCCCACAGGATCTGCTCTATAGGGACCTGCGGTCATGGTCACCCATTGCCCAAGCAGGCCAAAAGGCTTCTTGGACTCTATACACTTTCCTGATCTTGACCTTAGTCATCCACCAAGCCCCTGTGATTCTGTGTCCTGCGTTGCCTTGGGATCTGCCCTCTCCTCTGCCACCTGGAATACTATAGACAGCCTCCACCTTTTTTTTTTTGTTTGTTTTTTGTTTTTGTGATGGAGTCTCACTGTGTCGCCTAGGCTGGAGTGCAGTGGCACGATCTGGGCTTACTGCAATCCCTGCCCCCCGGGTTCAAGCCATTTTCGTGCCTCGGCCTCCCAAGTAGCTGGGATTATAGATGTGTGCCACCACGCCCAGCTAATTTTTGTGTTTTTGCTAGAGACAGGGCTTCACCATGTTGGCCAGGCCGGTCTTGAACTCCTGGCCTCAAGTGATCTGCCCACCTCTGCCTCCCAAAGTGCTGGGATTACAGGTGTGAGCCACCATGCCTGTCCCAGCCTCCACTTTTGTCTCCCTGGCTCCCCCAGGCTTTCGTTACATTGGCACCAGGCTCTGAGAGACCCTTTTGCCATTGCAGAAAGTCCTGGTACTACCTCCCATAGTGCTGTAGCCTTACTGACCTTCTCACCTGCCAACTTGTCTGCCCAGGGTACCTGCTCCCCTTTGGTTCCTTGGCCCTTTGTTCTTCACTGGCACTTTATTTTTTTGAGACAGAGTCTCGCTATGTTGCCCAGGCTGGAGTGCAGTAGTGTGATCTTGGCTCACTGCAGCCTCTGCCTCCCAGGTTCAAGTGATTCTCCTGCCTCAGCCTCCCAAGTAGCTGGGACTATAGGTGCACGCTGCCACACCCGGCTAATTTTTGTATTTCTAGTAGAGACAGGGTTTCACCATGTTGCCCAGGCTGGTCTCAAACTCCTGACCTCAGGTGATCTGCCTGCCTCGGCCTCCCAAAGTGCTGGGATTACAGGCGTGAGCCACCTTGCCTAGTCATTCACTGGCACTTTTGTGTCTATGAAGTCCTTCCAGCTGCTGAGCAAGTGTTCCAGGCATCCTACCCTGACCTTCTGCTGCCCAATTAGGTGACCTTGCTACCCAGAGAGCACCCACACCCACCCCTCACAAGGCTGCACATACTGCCCAGGACCTGCTGCTGACTTGCTGGGTTTCCTTACAGGCTGCCACCTCTATGTCCTGAATTCTCAGGTCTCACGGTCCTGAGAGGTGATAAGTGTGCAGTAAACATGTGCTGACTGAGTGGCCCTGCCCTGGCCCAGGTGGCCATCCTCTCGCAGAGAGCGAGCCTTCAGGTCCAAGGAGACTCCCTCAGTTTGAGGAAGTGTTGCAATCTCACGGAGAGAGTGAGGGCTCACCACAACTTCACGTTGTGCATATTAGTGTTGCATTCTCCAAACCTCAATTTCTTCATCCTTGAAACTGGGGTTTTACTACCCAATACAAGGTAGAGTTGTGAGGATTACGTGAGATTGTATGTATCAGGTCCCTGATAGACAAGAAAGCTTTTGGCAATCTCCGTATCTTCTTTCCTTTCCTGAGTGTCTCACCTCATTTCCCTGGGCAAGTGGGGCTCTCTCTCTCTGTGTTGCTCCTGCCTTGCATGGTTCATTCAAGGCTACTTCCTTCCACTGCACTAATTTGCCACCCCTCTCTGTGGCAGGAGGAGTTGGAGCACCTGAACCAGGCCAGCGAGGAGATCAACCAGGTGGAACTACAGCTGGATGTGAGTGTCCTTTTCCTTATGTGCTTGGGCTGGTCCTTGGAAGTATCTCCATCTGTCTCTTTCCCAGATTGAGGCAGTGGCGGTGGGAGGGGTGTGTCTGAGAAACAAGAGGGGCTGGGACCCAAACATGTGCCTTTCCTCTGCCTTGTTCCTTTCCAGGAGGCCAGGACCACCTATCGGAGGATCCTACAGGAGTCGGCGAGGAAACTGAATACACAGGGTTCCCACTTGGGGAGCTGCATCGAGAAAGCCCGGCCCTACTATGAGGCTCGGCGGCTGGCTAAGGAGGTATGGCTGGCTGACCACGTTTGAGGAAGGCTACGTGCTGAGCCTGGCCCTGGATTCTTCTGTCTCTATATGGAGTGAGAGACAAAACACCAGACCCTGAGGGCAGAGCCCTGGGCTAGACCTGGCTGGTCGGAACCAGCTCTGTGGGCTCAGGAGGTTCCTTTACCACGTGGGCTCTGGGCTTATGGTCTATAAAATGGTGAGGGTGGCTGTGGGAGAATATTTAGTTCAGCCCTGCTAATGTTTAAGTGCCTTCTGTGTATCAGGAATCAGGCTTTAGGGTATATCAGATATGTCAGTTCTAACATCCTGTTGTTTTCATCTGCGCCCATTTCCTCTTCCCTTTGGTTCATGTCTCTCTTCTGAATCTTTTCTTTGCTTACTCCTCACTCTTTTCCCCATCCCACACCCCTTTTTTCTGTAACAAATTACTTTTAACAAATAATATGTGTTCACCATTGGAAAAACATAATAAAACAAGAAGGAAACAAAAATCACCCAAAATCCTACCATGCACGTTTCATGCATTTTGTTTCCTGGGATTTGTTGTCATCCTGTATGGTGAGGTGACAGATACAGACAACTGCCTTGGAAGAAGAGTTTGTTCCCGAGAGGAGGGGACATCCATGCCATGCAGGGCCACACGGGGAAGCAGCCAGGGTCCTTCAGGAGGCAGAAGTGAAGGAGAAAGCAAAGCGCAGCGCCTTAGTGTGGTTTTCGTGGAAAGGAGTAGGTGAGGCAGGGTAGGCAAGTTTGGATAAGTTTAGGAGTGGATAGTTGGAATAACTTTGCTAGGCCCTGGGCTATAGGGGCGGCCTCTAATTGTCTAGTACCTGGCCCTGGGATGACTTAGGGCAGAGGAAATATCGGCTTGGTCGGGGAGAAGTAGGTAAAGGAGTTAGCTGGGGATCCAGGCTTTGGATTAGGTGGTTGGTTTGCATATGAAAGGCACACTTACAGGGGAGTTTACTGTTTCTAGGAATTAGCCCTGGAAGGGGCAGTTTGTCCTTGGCCAGCAAGGTCCCCCAAGACATGAAAGCATCATAAAGTATAGAAAATAAAAATATGATTAATACAGCACAGATAACCATGTGTGCTGTATTAATCATATTTCGTGTCCTTGTATATCCAGCCAAAATGGGATTACACAGTATGTGCTATTTTGTTCTTTTATTAGCATTATGACATGGTTCCATGTCAATAACTATACATCCAAGCCGTCATTTTAAAGGACTGATTAATATTTTATTTTTTTAAGAAATGGGGTCTTGCTCTGTTGCCCAGACTGGAGTGCAATGGTGTGATCATAGCTCACTGTAACCTCAAACTCCTAGGCTCAAGTAATCCTCCTCCCTCAGCCTCACAAGTAGATGGGCTCACAGGCAGAAGCCACTGCGCCCAGCTTATTTTCTTATATTAGATGTACTATTATTTATTTAACCGATGTCCTATAACTGAAAAGTTAGGTTTGTTTTGTTTTTTGCTTGGTTGGTATGGCTATGATGACTGTCCCTGAGCACTTGTCTGATTACTTCCTTCAGCTTGCCTGCTGAACATGGAATTGATGGTCTCAAGGTCATCTTTTCTGTAAGACTCTGTCTATGTTGCTAACCACCTTACACTAAAATGGTTTGTGTTTTCCTTTGTTTTCCCTAGGGGAAAAGGCTAGCAGCCTTTGGGAGTGCTGGATTTCACACATCTACCCTCCACTGGCAAAATTTTTATTTCTTCTAGTCCATATCCTTATGAAATATTCTTTATAGAATGTTGCTTCCTTGGCATTTATCCTCAGCACAGTTTGGGAAATGAAGCCGACATTGCTAGTAGGCCTTCCTCCTTCTCTTATCCTCACGTCTATTATGGGTCTCCATGGGCAGCTGGGGTCCCTCAGGGTTCCCCATCCTGATATCCCTCTCCCCCCAGGCTCAGCAGGAGACACAGAAGGCAGCGCTGCGGTACGAGCGGGCCGTAAGCATGCACAACGCTGCTCGAGAAATGGTGTTTGTGGCTGAGCAGGGCGTCATGGCTGACAAGAACCGACTGGACCCCACGTGGCAGGAGATGCTGAACCATGCTACCTGCAAGGTGAGCCGGGCGGTGCCAGCAGGTCCCCTTCGCTGGTTCTCGTCCATCCTTTGCTATGTCTTTATCACCTCACCTCCTCATTCTTCCCTCTATTCTAGCCTTCTTTCAACTTTGATTCTGTTTCAGGCAAAACCTGTTCCTAGTTTTCTGTTCTGTTTGGCCTCCATTGCTTCCCATATTCCATTTCCCTCTGACTTAGAATGTCATCCCGGGCTCTTCTTGAACGTTTGCCTCCAGGTGTGGGACTAACCCAAACAATTCATCCCTGGTGGATACTGAGGATTCAACATTCACATTTTATTATGTTTAGCTGTGTGACTCCTCGCTTCTGTTTTCAGAGTCTGCTCCCTTTCCTGCTTTTGAGCTCTGACAGTACACCTCGAGTTTTGAAGTATAATTTATGTATCATTTCCAAGCTCCTGAAAGGGGACTGGGGAGCGGAAGGATCTCTGCCGTTGGCCCTGTCTGCCACCTTCAGCTTGCACAGGGCAGGTGTCAGCAACTCGAGGGGGTGTTTGTGGCTTGTGATTCTTCATCTGCCCCTCACACAGAACAGGCACCTCACTTCTACTCTAGAGCTCATGCAAATGAGAGCACACAGCACGGGGGGAGGGGTTAGGGGATGGTGTATAGTGTAGAGCTACACCTGAACAGGGAGCAGGTGAGGGCTCCAGCCGCTTTGTCTACCAGGACAAGTGGGCCAACTGTACAACACCCTGAGCAGAAGCACGCCAGAGCCCCATCCAACCTCGGCCCACTTGTCCTGGACGGTGCCCACATAGGGTGTGGAAACCTGGAGAACCCAGCGCACAGCTGTGGCTCCCCACACAGGCTCTTCTCACTCCCAGATCCCTAACCATTGGCGCTGAGGGCTCCCTGAAGAGAATGGCTGCTGCAGATGTGTGATGTGCTGACAGACATTCCCCTGATGCTCTCAAGTGGTTGAGTGGGCACCAGCATCCCTTTCCTGGCAGCAGCAAAGCTGAGTAGCCAGTGGTGCAGGTGACACTAGGCAAGAACATGGGGAAGACGTGGCTCAGAGGCATGTGCCTGTGATGTGGTCCTCGACGGTCAGGCAGCAGATCCAAGAGAGACAGAAATAAGCTGTCTTGAGGCTCATAGACCCCGTGTTCCCCTGCGTGTCTCGGGCTCTGTACACAGTTGGGGGTTTGCAGAGGATGTTCCTGTTTGGGTTCCCCCCAGGGCGTTGTTCAGATTGGCAGCCTGGGGCAGATGCCAGAGACTGAAGCATGGGTCCTGGCTCAGTGATGTGTCCTCTGGGCCAGGTGAATGAGGCGGAGGAAGAGCGGCTTCGAGGTGAGCGGGAGCACCAGCGAGTGACTCGGCTGTGCCAACAGGCTGAGGCTCGGGTCCAAGCCCTGCAGAAGACCCTCCGGAGGGCCATCGGCAAGAGCCGCCCCTACTTTGAGCTCAAGGCCCAGTTCAGCCAGATCCTGGAGGTAGCTGAGTGGGTGAGGGGGAGGAGGAATGGGTAGGTGGGGGTGCAGGCTGGAGGGGATGCTGGTCGGCCTCTCTGGGCCATCTTGGTGAGGTGGCCAGGGTGAGGCCTCCGGCTAGCGGTGGGGAAGGGTGGTGGCACACATGTTCCAAATGACCTTGCAGGAGTGAGAGGCAGGGATGGGGGCTGGTGATGGGGGCTGGTGACGGCGAGAACGTAGTTGGAAGAAGGGAGGTAAACAAGAGGAAAAGAACTGGTGGAAATCTGGGATGGGGAAGAAGAACCAGCCATTGGGTGAAAGGGAACAGTGGGGAGAGGATGAGGAAGCAGGAGCTGGTGGAGAGGAAGGCCTGAGAGGAAGGCTCTGGAAGGTGGGGCTCAGGTCAGGAGCAGGATTGCTGGGGAGGAACAACGCAGAGCAAGTGGAGCAGGGAAGGGTGTTGTGGGTCTGTGGTGGGTGCTGAGAGTGGAGCAGGGAAGGCTGTTGTGGGTCTGTGGTGGATGCTGAGCCAGCTGTCCAGGTATTCTGGGAGAGCAGGCCCTCAGACCTCAGTGCAGAGTGCTGAGGAAGGTGGAGACGTGCCCCATGGGTCGCCTTGCTCTGCTCTGCCCTCTGCAGGAGCACAAGGCCAAGGTGACAGAACTGGAGCAGCAGGTAGCTCAGGCCAAGACGCGCTACTCCGTGGCCCTTCGTAACCTGGAGCAGATCAGCGAGCAGATTCACGCACGGCGCCGCGGGGGTCTGCCTCCCCACCCCCTGGGCCCTCGGCGCTCCTCCCCCGTGGGGGCCGAGGCAGGACCCGAGGACATGGAGGACGGAGACAGCGGGATTGAGGGGGCCGAGGGTGCGGGGCTGGAGGAGGGCAGCAGCCTGGGGCCCGGCCCCGCCCCCGACACCGATACCCTGAGTCTGCTGAGCCTGCGCACGGTGGCTTCAGACCTGCAGAAGTGCGACTCCGTGGAGCACTTGCGAGGCCTCTCGGACCACGTCAGTCTGGACGGCCAAGAGCTGGGAACGCGGAGTGGAGGGCGCCGGGGCAGCGACGGCGGAGCCCGTGGGGGTCGGCACCAGCGCAGCGTCAGCCTGTAGCCGAGGGGCCAGGGTTCCTGGCTTGAATCTGCCACCACGGGCCGGTTGGGGCCCACAGTCTTCTCACGCCCTCTCCTCTGGGGCCTCGTCTTCCCGAAGGTCCCCTTCTCCAGTGCTTCCCTGGGAGAGGCCAGCTGTGTTCGAGTCCTCTGTGCCTGCCCTGGCGTTCTCACAGCCTCCCCCTTCCCCTCAGCAGGCGGCTCTCTTTGCCTTACCCATTCAGAAGGCTCGCCCTCGGCGCTCTGTCTGCCTCTGCCTGCCAGCTCATCACGATCTGCAGGGCATTGACCCTTTGCTTTCCCTTTCTGCTCCCTCTCTTTCCATCTGTTTGGCTTTTTCCCTCAGGGAACTTGGTCTAGAAGGCACTGGGAAGCTCATCAGAGAAAATGGGTGCTGGGCCTGAGTACTCCCGTCGGAGGGGATGGACAGTCACCCCTCCCGTTGGTTTCCAGCCCCGCCCCCCTTCCCAAGGCAACTCTGGAGGGTACCCTAGGTATGCTGCTGAGCCCTGCCCCCCGTCCTGCTCCAGCCTGCCCGTGTGTAACCTGTAAGATGTACTGTGTGCCTCCGGAAGACACCACCTTTCCCTTCAGCATTCCCTTTCATGACCTGAGGCACTCTGCGATGTGTGCCCCAAAGCAGAACTTACAGGGCCTGCAGGAAGCTGGTGTCAGGGAGAGAAACCCAACCCCACTGTCAACATAGGGAGCATCACCAACTCCAGACTGGCTCCTGTGGGTATGGTGTTTCCGCTGGGCTGGGTCCTCAACATTGCCAAGGTGCTAGTGGGTCCCTAAGAGGGCCCATGTTGGGGGTGAAGTCATGAGGTCCTGAAGGCTTAGGCCCCTGTCATTCCCACCCTCACTCTTGCTGCACAGTTGTGTTTACTTTTTCTGGGTAGAGGATGCTGAACTGACTCAGCACCCTCCTGCAGGACGGGGTTAGGGAATTTGGTGCTCAATTGCTCTCCCTTGCTCTTCCCCAAACTGAAAATACCTACTGCAGGATCCCTCGGGGCACACTGAAGCTTGGCTGCCAACCCTCTTACTTCCTTTGTTACAGGGAGGGGTTGGCTTGGGGTGAAAAGTTCTGCCCTCCGCAGGGAGCAGCTCCAGCTGCCTGGCAGTGCTCCCAGTTTGTAGGGAAGCCACACCAGATCTGGGTGCCTTGGGAGAACCAGTCCTTCCTTTTGACCCACCCCAGGAAGATGGAGTGCTCTTTTCTAGGCCCATGTTCTGCCAGCAACCGGGATGCGTGGGCAACTGGACTCTGCACGGGGGTCTACAGGTTGAGGGAGGTTGGTCACAATGAGAACCTCGGGGTTTGAGGTGGCCATGGGCAGACAGCCGAAAGGGAGGGAGGGTGTGGGTGTGCGTGTGTGCATGTGCTGGTGTGTAAGGGGGAAAGGGTCTTTCCTGGTTTTATTTAAATAAAGTAGTTTATGTAACAGTTAACATCTACTGTCCTTGCTGGAGGAAGAGAAAAGGGGCAAAGATGAGGCAAGGGTTGGGCAAGGGAAGAGCAGGGTTAGGCGGCAGGCTTTTTAGATGGTGTGGTCAGGGAAGGGAGGTGAAGGACCAGATTGAGTGAGCTGCGCTATGCATGCTCTTGCGGGGGTGGAAGGCCCCATGGCCAGGGTGGTCATGTACAGGGCAAGTGTAGAGAAGCAGGGGAGGAGTTGGTGCCTCATGGGGCCATGCTGTGTGAGGTGATGGGTGCCAGGAGAGGGTTTGGTAGAAAGGGGCCTGCGGGGTGGAGTGGGCTCTGTCTGAGCTAAGAGATGAGAGTGCCAGAGGGTTGGGATCTTAGATGTGTCTGGATGTGAGCATGAATGTAGAGAAGGGACACAAGTAGTGATGCCAGATTTATCAATACAGTGAACCCACTGAAATTTCAGATAGGCAGTATTTTTGTCTGCTGCAGTGTTTAGGATGTACTTACATTATGAATTATCCGTTGTTTCTCTGAAATTAAAACCTAGATAAAAGGTGACTTCCAAGTCAGGGCTTGACTGGCTGGGGGATGGGAGGGGTTTGAGGGCACTTGAACTCACAGGTGGGAGATTGGATAGGGATGTGAACTCCAGGAGCTTTGAAGAAGAGCAAAAGGCTTTGTTTAGCCTGAGCTGCACTTGGAGTGTACCAGTATTTGGAGTTTTGTTGAGAAGAGGTCAGCCAAGGGAAGAAGAAGGTGCTGGCAGGGAGGAAGACCAGAAACCTTGGGGTCAAGGGGCAGGGTGAAGGCCAAGAATTGGAGGCACGCAATCAGAGCAGTGACCCTGGTGGCTGTGGACGCCATCTGAGGGGCCATCTGGGGCCGCTATGTGCTGAGCACTCACTGTGCCTTTGGATGGGTGCTGTCCAGGAGTTTGAGATTGCCTTCCCTGACTTGGCAGATGGGTGTCATAATATTTTATTACTAGAAAAGCTGCTATGAAAATGCATAGCATATGTTTTTGGGTGAGTGGGCTTTTTAAATTTTTTAAATTGTATGTATAGGAGGTGAACAACATGGTATTTTGATGCACATAATGAAATAGGTATCAAATTGGCCTATCATTTTGCAGTTACCTCCCCCCTTTTTTGTTGTGAAACCGCCTAAAATCTACTCTCAGCAAATTTTCAGTCTATAATACAGTATTATAGTCCTAATGAAGGGCTTTCTGAGATGACACACAGTGCTGGACTTCCCTACCCAGTCACTGGCAGGCAGGACCTGTGAGGCTCCTGGTACAGAAGAGCCCTAGAAAAGAAGGGCTATGCCATGCACGTGCGTTTCTCCTTGCAAAATCACCTAGAAGATGCGGCAGGCGGGAAGAGAGACCAGGAAGGTTAGAGCCAATGGTACTTCTAAGGAGAAGAAGACAGAAGCCGAAGAGCTCCCTCCCTCCCACCCTCGTTGTAGTAACTTGTACTCATCCAGTGCATTTCACGTACCAGGAACGCCCCTAATTAATCTCTACAACAATGTTATAGGACAGATAAACACTATGATTTCCTTTCCACGGTAAGAAAATAAGGCACAATGGGGGGTACTCAGCCTTGCTGAAGGTAACGGAGGCGGCTCCCACTAGGCACTTGGACTCTAGAGTCCAAACGCTTGAACCACTGGGCTCACAGGAACAGGAGGTGAGGAAGTGGAGGTAGTCATCTCCGAGGAAGTTTTGCTGGGAAGAAGAGATGAGAAGTGGGAATACTGTTTCTTAGCTC
Organism: Homo sapiens; assembly: GCF_000001405.40. Classification (NCBI taxonomy): domain Eukaryota; kingdom Metazoa; phylum Chordata; class Mammalia; order Primates; family Hominidae; genus Homo; species Homo sapiens. Next base: position 248,808,690 of record NC_000001.11, on the reverse strand, counting down.
CTTCTCCCAGCAAAGAGGGTCGAGAAATTTTGTTTAAGGTGAGGAAGAGATGGTCAAGGTGTGGGGGACATAGGGCCCCATCCCCCATTCCTGTACTGTGTCATGTTACATGTTACATTGGCCTGTTGGTAATGAATTGTTCTGATCTTCATCTTCCTCAAGTGTGGGGCTGGGGCCTCAGTCTACCCAACACCTGACACAGGCTCTCACCAACAGATGCTCAGGAAATGTGCTTTTGCTTCTTGCCCCTTCTCTTAGCCCACAGCTGTATCAGGTGGGTTTATCAGTACAGCAGTTTGGAGGTCAGGACCTGGTGATGCACAATCCCAGGATCACATCTCTATGGGAATTCTCAAATTTCATGACGCTTCAATTTTATCGCCTATAAAATGGGAGCATAGAGGCATGTGTGGCATGCTGCTACATCAGTGGATCTGAGGTGCAGCGATTCCTGTTAGCACCTCTTCACAGCCTCGGAGTGCTTAACTCACGGAGGCTTCATCCCATCTTGCGCTAGGCAAGTGGACTCTATGAAAGGGTTGTGTTTCCCTCCTCATCTGGATATGATTTTTGACAAGCATGACAACCCCACTGCCTTTTTAAAAATTTAATTTTTAATATTTATTTTATTATGAGACAGGGTTTTGCGCTGTTGCTCAGACTGGAGTGCAGTGGTGCAATCATAACTCACTGCGGCGTGGGACTCCTGGGCTCGAGCAATCTTTCTGTCTCAGCTTCCCTAGTAGCTACGACCACAGATGCACACCACCATACCCCGCTAATTTTTAACTTAATTTTTTTTTTCTCTGTAGAGATGTATTGCAGTGTTGCCCAAAATGGTTTTGAACTCTTGGACTTAAGCAGTCCTCCCTCCTTGACCTAAAGTGCTGGGATTACAGGCTTGAACCACTGCTCTTTGCCTTTTTTTTTGTTTGTTTTTGTGACACTCGTTCTAGCCCAGGCTGGAGTGCAGTGATGTGATCTTGGCTCACTGCAACCTCGACCTTCTCGGCTCAAGAGATCCTCCCACCTCAGCCTACCAAGTAGCTGGGACTACAGGTGTGTCCCACCATGCCCAGCTAATTTTTGGATTATTTTGGAGGCGGGGTTTCCCTGTGTTGCCCAGGGTGGTCTTAAACTCCTGGGCTCAAACGATCCCCCTACCTCGGCCTCCCAAATTGCTGGGATTACAGGCATGAGCCACCATGCCTGGTTATGCTTCCAGCCTTTAGACATCTTTTAAAATTGACATATTGTAATTGTACGTATTTGTGGGGTGTGGAATCAACCCATCTGTAGATGCTCCTACTCTGCCTGGCAGGAAGAGCGGAGATGACCTTCTTGGGCTGTCAAGGTCTTGCTGTGTCAGCAGGGGGCAGCAGCTACCAGAAAGTGCGCAGAGCCTGGGCTCTGCATTTCCCTGCGCGCACTGCGTGTTGACCCTCCAAGCCTGCGTGGTCAGCCTCATGGGCACTTTGCAGAAGGGCCTGAAAAACTGCACATAGAAGGGTGGGGGTGTGTATACATCAGAATGGAACCCTATTTGTACTTGTCATGGGCCTCTTGCATTCCCGTGTGTCCTCGGAATCACCTATTGCGTGTGAGAGCTGGCTCAAGTCTGCAGCGCAGCTGGTCTCAGGAGGTAAGATGTTCGATATGTAGATGTACCCTGTTCTCCTCAGAGCTCACCTCCTTCCTTGGCCTCCCTAGTGTCTTTTCCCTCTCCCTTTCCACAGCCTCTTTATAAATTTCTCCACCCACGCCTGCTCACCATTCCTGAGCCCCAGGCTGCAACACATTGCTCATGCCCTGGGATAAGGGAACCAGGAGACCATACACTGGCTGGCAAATGGATATGTGTAGTTTACTAAGAAATGTTCACCAGGATCTTTCAGTGTACAAACACTGTGGTAGGCCTTGTTAGGAACACTATAAACTGTAATGCCATGGGTGGGTCTTCCAGGTAAGGAATGCAGGTGTGCACAGGTGGTGCAGGGCAGTGAAAAATACATAACCAGGCCAGGAGCAATGGCTCACAGCTGTAATCCCAATGCTTTGGAAGGCCAAGGTGGGAGGCTCACTTGAGGACCAAGTTTGAGGCCAGCCTCAGCATCATAGTGAGAACCCGACTCTACAAAAAGTAAAAAAATTAGCAATGCGTGATGGCATGCACCTGTAGTCCTAGCTACTCCTGAGGCTAGTGGGAGGATCTCCTGAGCCCAGGAGTTTGAGGCTGCAGTGAGCTATGATCACACCACTATTTCAGAATGGGTGACAGAGGGACAACCTATTTCTAAAAATAAGTAAATAAATAACTAATGAGGGCTGCAGTCAAGGAAAAATCTGGGAGGTTACAGCTGGGCATTGCTCTCCGAAGCTCTGAACCAGCCCCTTGGTCTCAGACTGGAGAAGTGGTGCCTGGCTCCCAATCCTCACTCTTCCCAAATCTGTCTTGAGCTCCCAGGGCCTGTGTCTCACCCATCTTGGTGTTCTCAGGACCTGGAATGTGGAAATTTTCACCAAACAGCTGTCTACTGACTTACTTCTGCTTGTGCTACCCTTGGCACAAGTTTCCTCCCTTCTCAAACTGTCAAACTGCTGCCTGTGGTTTGAGGACCAGATCATGTGGTCAAAAGTCCACATGAGCTGGGATTCAACCACAGGCACCTCTCTAGCCCAGTCTGAATTAATCCTTATCACTCTCAAGTTCCCCATGGCTCTTTTGACTTACTGAAGAATGGGCCGGTTGTTGTAGACATGTCTCTTGTTGGTCCTAAGTCCTCAGAAGAAGGGGTCAGTATCATCCTTGACTCCATCTCACTCAACACATAACACAATAGACATATGTACAGGGACCATACGTGATGCATAGTCTAAATTGGGACAGCTGAGTGTGAAAGGGGGCAGGTGTGGCCTGGGACTGACTTGGGTGATCTAGGACATATGGTCACCCTCATTCTAGGTGCTCAGTAAACATTAGTTCTTTTGAGAGCTTCGGTGTTAAAAACACTGACCACACTATTCAGAGAGGGTTGCCCTTGGCCTGCCCCTGCCACAAGGGGTTATGTGCACAGGGACAATTCACTCAGCTCCTCTGGGCCTCAGTGTTCCAATCTGCCGGAAGTGTGGACAGACTCAGTAGATAACCTCTAAGGTTATCTAAAGCACTAAAATTATACAGCTGGCAGTGGAGGCTGGGCCATGCGAAGAGTTCTGATGGATGATGTGAAATGGTGCATGTGTTTGCAGACAGGGTTAGGGGTTGGAGCATGAGAAACCTGAGCAAGTCCAGAGTTGGTTAGGACCCAGCCCGGAGGGAGCAGAGGGCTGCTGGATATTTCTGCTTGGGTGTGAGATGATCATCGTCCAGAGGTCGAAGAGCTCAGAGTGCTGGGCAGTAGTTTCTCTTTCTCCAGGCAGGCAGGTGGCTTTCACTGCACAGTGCAGATACGCTTCTTGATTTATTCAAACATAGGAGGAAGGGAGTGTCAAAATGAGTTTCTTCCCCATTTAGAAAAGAGGAACCTTCTTGGTCTAGGGTAGAGTGGAGCAGCAGAGCTGCCTTCTTCCTCAGCTGCGGCTTCATCTTCCATGCTCCTTCCAGGCCACCCCATCCTGTTTCGTCTCTATGATTTCTGCAATAACATGCAGAAGAGCTGGATCATCTTCACACTGACACAAGGAAATCTCAGTTGTGCCACGGCCTGCTTTTTTCCAGCAGGAATTCTTAAGGGCCTGGGGGCCTGGGGCAGCAGTGAAGGCTGGAGGAGGCTCATGGAGCTGTACAGGTTCGCAGGGGCTGCTGTGGTTTAGGGAAGAAGGAGAGGATGTTGCTTAATGTCACCTGCCTTGTGTGCTAACCTCAGTGTTGCTATGGTTTCAGCCTCCCACTCCACTTGGAGAGAGAGGCCAGGAGCCCACCTGCCTCTGCAGCCCACCTGCCTCTGCAGCCCAGGGTGGGAATGTAACCGTTGCTGCTGTACTCACATCTGACCTTCCTTCAGCTGATCTTCGCCCCTTTTACCAGATCTCCTCTTTCACTTTACAATTTCAGAAGCCTCAGATTACAATCCTCTCCATTCCCTCAAACAGTTGCATCTGGCAATAGTGACCATGGCTGCCCCATTGGAAGGGACTGTTAACAGAAAAGGGCATGAGGCCTTAGGAGGAGGGGAGCTACGTCTTCATAACACTAACAAAAACAAACCCGAGGTTAAATAAAGTGAACCAGGTATTTAGTTCACCTGCCACCTGGGATATACTTTTTAATTTTTTCTGGGTTGGTTAAAAATATATTTAGGGCCGGGCACGGTGGCTCACGCCTGTAATCCCAGCACTTTGGGAGGCTGAGGCGGGCGGATTACCTGAGCTCAGGAGTTGGCAACCAGCCTGGGCAACATGGCGAAACCCCTTCTCCACTAAAATACAAGAAATTAGCCGGGCTTGGTGGCGTCCACCTGTAGCCCCAGCTACTCAGGAGGCTGAGGGAGGAGAATGGCGTGAACCTGGGAGGCGGAGCTTGCAGTGAGCTGAGATCGCGCCACTGCACTCCAGCCTGGGTGACAGAGTGAGACTCCGTCTCAAAAAAAAAAATGTATATACATACATATGTATATATATTTAACGACACTTTCAGAGAGAATGTGACAGAGATAAAAGCTGAATAAGAATGACAGGAAAACTGATCTGGAAGCATAAATGATGAGGATGAGAGAAAACATCTGCAGCTAGACAAACCCAAAAGACTTGGAGAAAGTGACAAAAGTGAAGCAGCAGAGACGAGGAGAGACGTGAAAATACACGCTGGAGGGAGGGACATCAGAGACGAGAAGAGGAAAGCCTCATAGGTGACTGGGACATCAGAGATGAGAAGAGGAAAACCTCGTAGGTGACTGGGACATCAGAGATAAGAAGAGGAAGGCCTTGTAGGTGACCGGGACATCAGAGACAAGAAGAGGAAGGCCTCGTAGGTGACCAGGACATCAGAGACAAGAAGAGGAAAGCCTCGTAGGTGACCGGGACATCAGAGACGAGAAGAGGAAGGCCTCGTAGGTGACCAGGACATCAGAGACGAGAAGAGGAAAGCCTCGTAGGTGACCAGGACATCAGAGATGAGAAGAGGAAAGCCTCGTAGGTGACCGGGACATCAGAGACGAGAAGAGGAAGGCCTCGTAGGTGACTGGGACATCAGAGATGAGAAGAGGAAAGCCTCGTAGGTGACCGGGACATCAGAGACAAGAAGAGGAAAGCCTCGTAGGTGACCGGGACATCAGAGATAAGAAGAGGAAGGCCTCGTAGGTGACCGGGACATCAGAGATGAGAAGAGGAAAGCCTCGTAGGTGACTGGGACATCAGAGACAAGAAGAGGAAAGCATCGTAGGTGACCGGGACATCAGAGATAAGAAGAGGAAAGCCTCGTAGGTGACCGGGACATCAGAGATGAGAAGAGGAAAGCCTCGTAGGTGACCGGGACATCAGAGATGAGAAGAGGAAAGCCTCGTAGGTGACCGGGACATCAGAGATGAGAAGAGGAGAGCCTCGTAGGTGACCGGGACATCAGAGACAAGAAGAGGAAGGCCTCGTAGGTGACCGGGACATCAGAGATGAGAAGAGGAGAGCCTCGTAGGTGACCGGGACATCAGAGACAAGAAGAGGAAGGCCTCGTAGGTGACCGGGACATCAGAGATGAGAAGAGGAGAGCCTCGTAGGTGACCGGGACATCAGAGACAAGAAGAGGAAAGCATCGTAGGTGACCGGGACATCAGAGATGAGAAGAGGAAAGCCTCGTAGGTGACCGGGACATCAGAGATGAGAAGAGGAAAGCCTCGTAGGTGACCGGGACATCAGAGACAAGAAGAGGAATGCCTCGTAGGTGACCGGGCTGGTAGCACAAATGATACTCATACGTGCCAGGACTCTAGCTGAGCCCGAGTTAGATTTACAGCCCTCCTTATCTTGACCTATCTCCAAGTTCCTAGGTGAAGTGGCTGTTCCCAGTGCTGCCTGAATCCTTCAGCTGACTGCCGGCCAGAGGTTTATGGCTCTGATCAGGAAGATCACTGATGAGTCTTGTTTCAGACAGGTCCCACCCTCTGTTGGCTCCAACAGTGTTTGATATCCAACAATAGGAAACCAGATTCTGTGAGTGAACTCAAGCTATAGGCAGGACCCGTGGAAGGCACAGGGGAAAGGAGTTGTCTTCCCAGGAAATCTTGGATTTCCCCCTGGAAGTAGGTATCCTATGTACCAGGTGGGAGAGGACTGAGGAGAATGTGCCTTAGGACATGGCTGAGAGCCTCTCTACAGCTCTGCACCATTAATTCCGTGTGGATTTGTGTACCTGGAGCCCAGGGAAAACTAAAGCCCCTCTAATCAAAATGGTGTTTCTTTCTCGAGGTCCTGCTGGTTGTGAGAGATTTATGCTTCTGTGTGGGATATGTTCTTTCACCTATAAACATCAAAATCCCACAGTGAAATGGGAACAGAAAAATGTTTATTCCCCACCCAACCTTCATCTTAAACATGGTTCAATAGGAAGGTATCACTCAGAGACCCTGGCCCAGGGAGGATCCTTCTATGACTCTAGTTCCTAAAATGTGTTCTCTAGATCAACAATATAAACATCACCAGAAACTTGTTAGACATGCAAATTCTCAGCCCCCTACCTCCACTCCTCTGCCCACAGCAATACTGCATTAGAAATGCTGGGAGTGGACCCCAGCAGCTTTCAACAAACCCCTAGAGTGATTCTAGTGTACCCTGGAGTTTGAGAACCTCATCTTTCCGGCAGGTGGAAGGGATGTGGCAAACAGTGCACAGGGGTCCCAAGACTTGTCCCTTCACTCACCTTTCACTGGCCAAAGCAAGTCACCTGGCCTTGCTCCCCCATTGCCTTCTGCCATGATTGGATGCTTCCTGAGGCCTCCGCAGAAGCAGAAACCACTATGCTTCCTGTATAGCCTGCAGAACTACGAGCCAATTAAAACTCTTTTCTTTATAAATGACCCAGTCTCAGGTATTTCTTTATAGCAATGTGAGAACAGACTCTTGAAATATTTGCACACCCATATTGAAGCAGTATTATTCACAATAGTTAAGAGGTAAAAGCAACCCAAATGTCAATTGACAGATAAATGGACAAACAAAATACGTTATATACAATTGAATATTATTTAACGTTAAAAAGGAAGGAAATTCTGACATATGCTACAACATAGACTATCCTTGAGGACATTTTGCTAAGTGAAACAAGCCAGTCGCAAAAGAACAAATACTGTATGATTACACTTACATAAGGTATCTAGAATAGTCAAACTTACAAAAGCAGAAAGTAGAACAGTGGTAACTAGAGAATCTGGGGAGAGGAAAATGGGGTGTTGTTTAATGGGTAAAAATTTCCAGTTCTACAAGATAAAAACTTCTTTTGTAGATTGGTTGCATAGCAATGTAAATATTGTTAGCAAAACTGAATGGTAACTGGGTGCGGTGGTTCACGCCTGTAATCCCAGCACTTTGGGAGGCTGAGGCGGGCGGATCACGAGGTCAGGAGTTCGAGACCAGCCTGACCAACATGGTGAAACCCCGTCTCTACTAAAGATATAAAAATTAGCCAGGCATGGTGGCGCATGCCTGTAATCCCAGCTACTCAGGAGGCTGAGACAGGAGAATCGCTTGAACTTGGGAGGTGGAGGTTGCAGTGAGCCGAGATCATGCCACTTCACTACAGCTTGGATAACAGAGCAAGACCCTGTCTCAAAAACAAAAACAAACCAACCCAAAAAACAAAAAAAACCCAGAATGGTAAGCTTAAAAATGCTTAAGATGGTAAATTTTGTGTTATCCACTTTTTTTTTACCATAATAAAAATAGTATCTTGACAAAATTAATAGAAATCATACAAAGTATGTTTTCTGACCGTAGTGGGATTAAACCAGAAATCAATAACTGAAAGCTGGAAAATTACAGTATATTCGGAAATGAAACAAAAACTGTTCTAAATAAGGAATCAAGAAGTGTAAAGAAAAGTTTTTATATATTTAGGACAAATGAAAATGAAAATGCCACTTGTCAAAATGTGTGGGGTGCAGCAAGAGTGCATAGTGGGAAAGTTTTAGTAACATGTCTACATTAGAAAAGAAAATGAGCTAAAATCAATAACCCAGCGTTCCACCTTAGCACACTAGAGAAAGACAAACAAATTAAGCCTGAAGGAAGCAGAAGAAAAGGGATAATAAAAATTAGAGCAGAAATGAATGAATTTGAAGACAAGAAACAATAGAGAAAAATTAATAAAATCGAAAGCTGATTCTTTGAAAAGACTGGTAAAATTAATGATTCAGGCTAACCAAGAAAAACAGAGAGGAGACAAATTATCAATTTTATAAATGAAAGAATGTTAATCATCCCTTGGACATTAGAATGATAATAAAAAGATAATATGAATAAATCCATGCTCACAAATTGGATGATTTTGATGAAAGGACTGATTCCTTGAAAAATACAAATTGCCGAAATTCACAGAGAAGAAATAGATCAGCTGAACAGTTCTATATATTAAATAAATTAAATCATTAATTATTAACCTTCCAAAAAAGAAAACATCAGGTCCAGGTGGTTTCACTGGTAAATTATATCAAACATTGAAGGAATAACTGATACTAGTTTTCCACAATTTCTTCCATAACATAGAAGCAGTGGAACACTTCCTAGCACATTCTATGAGGCCCGCATTATCCTAGTCAAAATCAGATAAAGACACCAAAGAAAGGAAAACAATGGACCAGTATTTTTCATGAGCATAAATGTAAAAATTATCAACAAAATATTAGCAAATCAAAGCAAACAGTGTGTAAAAACATTTTATACCATGACCAAGTGGAATTTATTTCAGGTATGTAAGACTGATTTAACTTTCTTTCTTTCTTTTCTTGAGACAGAGTCTCGCTCTTGTTGCCCAGGCTGGAGTGCAATGGCACGATCTCGTCTCACCGCAACCTCTGCCTCCCAGGTTCAAGCAATTCTCCTGCCTCAGCCTCCCGAGTAGCTGGGATTACAGGCATGCACCACCAAGCCCGGCTAATTCTGTATTTTTAGTAGAGATGGGGTTTCTCCATGTTGAGGCTGGTCTTGAACTCCTGACCTCAGGTGATCTGCCCGCCTCAGCCTCCCAAAGTGCTGGGATTACAGGCGTGAGCCACCGCGCCCGGCTGACTGATTCAGGTTTCTAAACTGAGCAATATAATTTAGCACATCAGCAGACTAAAGAAGAAAAGCCATATGATTATATTGATTCAGAAAAAAAGTTTGACAAAATCAAACACCCATTTATGATAAAAATTCTCAGCAAATTATGAATTAGTAAAACTTCTTTAACATAGAATTGCTACAGAAAACATACAGCTAACTAACATCACACAGAATGATGAAAATGGCATGCTCTTCTGAGCTTGGAAACAAAGCAGGGTTGTCCTCTATTACCACTCCTATTCAACACTGTATTGGAAATCTTAGGTAGTGCAATAACACAAGAACGAGAAAAAAGTTACAGGTTAGAAAGGAAAAAATTAAACTCTATTTGCAGAAGATACAATTTTCTATGTAGAACATCTCAAAGAATTGACAAACAAAACAAACCAATTTATGGAAGTAAGTTAGCATTGCAAGGTCATGGGATACAAGACTAACATAAGAAGTCAATGACTAACTTGAGGAAGTTATGCTAAGTGAAATGTGCCAGTCACAAAAGACAAATATTGTATGATTCAACTTACATGAGATACCTAGAAGACAAATTCATAGAGGCAGAAAGTAGAATGATAGTTACCAGGGGAAAAAGGTGAAATGGGAAAGTCTTGTTTAGTGGGTATAAAATTTCAATTTCGCAAAATAAAAACGTTCTGTGGTTTGGTTGCGTGCTAAATGAGAATATACTTAACACCACTTACTGAACACTTAAGAATAGCTAAGATGGTAAATTTGGTGTAATGTGTATTTTACCATAATTAAAAATAATTTTTAAAATGGAATACAGATTTTCCCTGGCTTTTTTCAATGCAGTCCCAATCAAAATCCCAGAAGGTTATTGTAGATAGCAACAAACTAATTCTAAACTTTATATGAGAAGGCAGAAGATCTAGAGTAGCCAACACAATATTAAAGAAGAAGAACAAATTTGGAGGAACGACACTACCCAATTTCAAATCTTATTATACAGCTATAGTAATCAAGACAGCATATTATCAATTGAAGATAGTCACACAGATCAGTGAAACAGAATATAGAGAAGAGAAATAGATCCACATAAATATAGTCAACTGAACTTTGATGACAGGGCAAAGACAATTTAATGGAGAGAAGATAGCCGCCTTCAGTAAAAAGTGCTGGATAAATTGAACAACTGTATGCAAAAAAATGAACCTAGACAGAGACATTACACTTTATACAAAAGTTAGCTGAAAATAGACATACACATAAAATGCCAAACTATAAAGCTACTTGAAAAAAAATAGGAGAAAATCTGCATGACTTTGGGTTTGATGATGTGTTTTTCAATGGCACTATCCATGGAATAAAAAATTAACAAGTTGGACTTGCTAAAATTGAAAACCTCTGATCTGCTAAAGACATGGTTCAAAGGAAGGAAAGATAAACCACAAATTGTGAGAAAAATTTGAACAATAGACATCTGATAATATCAAAATATACAAAGAACTTGTATTTAAAATGTACAGAGAGTTCTTACAGCTCAACAAGAAAACAACCCAGTTCAAAAGTGGGCAAAAGATTTGAACAGACACCTTAAAAAAAGATATACAGATGGAAAATAAAAATATGAAACGGTGCTCAACATGATATGTCAGTAGGGGATTGGAAATTAAAACGGCAGTGAGATGCCGCTACACACTTATTAGAATATTCAAAATGCAAATAACTGATAATACTGACTGCTGGAAAGTTTGCAGAGCGAAATAAACTCACATTCACAGGTAGTGGGAATGTAAAATGGTACAACCACTTTGGGAGATAATTTGACACTTTCTTGCAAAACTAAACATAATCTTACCATGTAATCCAGCAATCACGTTCCTAAATTCTTACCCAACTGATTTGAAAATGTATGTCCACTCAAAAACCTGCATGCAAATATTTGTAACAGATTGATTCATAATCACCCACAACTGGGAGCAAGGAAGATGTCTTTTAATAGGTGAACGGATAACCAAACTGTGTTGCATCCATACAATGGAATAGCTTCTTATCAATAAAAAGAAATGAGATATCAAATTATGAAAATAAAAGAATCTTAAATGCATATTATGAAGTGAAAGAAGCCAGCCAGAAAAAAAACTGTATAATATATGCTTCCAATTATATGACATTCTGGGAAAGATAAAACTTAAAAGACCTTAAACACATTAGTAGATGCCAGAGGTTCTGGGGAAGGAAGTGAAGGTTAAATAGGTGAGGCACAGGAAAATTTATAGGGCAGTGAAACTTCTGTGTGATAATATAATGGTGAATACAAAACGTTAAGTATTTGTCAAATTCTATAGAGTTTTAGAGCACAAAGAATTACCTTAATGTATGTGAAATTTAAAAAATCATTTATGAGGTGGGGAGAATCACAAGAAGAAATGAACACTGTGACAAAGTAATCTAAACGTTTAATGAGGCAACCTCACTCAAGGGGCTGGAGGAGTAAGATGCTGACCTACCTAAGCTATTTTTTGTTTTGTTTTTTTGAGACAGGGTCTCATTCTGTTGCTCAGGTTGGAGTGCAGTGGTGCAATCTCAGCTTACTGCAGCCTCAACGTCCTGGGCTCAACAATTTTTTTATCTTTTTTTTTGATATGAAATCTTGCTTTGTCACCAGGCTGGAGTGCAGTGGCGCAATCTTGGCTCACTGCAACCTCCACCTCCCGGGTTCGAGCAATTCTCCTGCCTCAGCCTCCCAAGTATCTGGGATTATAGGCACACACCACCACGCCCAGCTACTTTTTGTATTTTTAGTAGAGACGGGGTTTCACCATGTTGGCCAGGTTGGTCTCGATCTCTTGACCTCGTGATTCGCCTGCCTTGGCTTCCCAAAGTGCTGAGATTACAGGCGTGAGCCAGCGTGCCCGGCCAGGCTCAACAAATTCTCCCACTTCAGCCTTTTGAGTGGCTGGGATTACAGGCATGTGCCACCATGTCTGGTTAATTTTTCTTGTATTTTTTTGTAGAGATGGGTTTTCACCAAGTGGCTGAAGCTGGTCTCAAATTCCTGGGCTCAAGCAATCCTCCCGCCTTGGCCTCTCAAAGTGCTGGGATTACAGGTGTGAGTCACTGCACCTGACCCCTAAGCAAATTTGGAAATTAGTAGAATCTGTAAGACAAAAGGCAAAAGAAACTGTTCATAAGCACTGAACTCCAGTAAATAAAGTTGTTTCCCATGGAGGTAACAATTCTGATACTGCTATACATGTATGCTAGAATTCAACAATTAAGTAAATGGATGGCAGATAGTGAAAGCCAGGTTACAGATAAACAAGGGGAGGGGGCTAGAAGGACTCACATGTTAATGGATTAAAATTGGAGACAGTGGTATGAATTAATGTTTAGCTTAATATGGATAGAGAGTTACATATACAAATATTTATAAATATGTGTATACATAAGTGTTAATGCACACTCATATATCTCCTTGATCAGTAAGCTGAGAGGGTTTAGACGCAATGACACCCTGGTATCAGTAAAGCAGAGTCACTCATCAGTGAAACTCCAGACTTTGACATGCAGCTTCTGATACATTGGCTACTCCTGGGGTATAGGATGTAGAACTTAACATATGCCCCCACAGAAGACCCCTTGTCACATTCTGTTTTCTCCTCCACCTTCCCCAGCAAGCTCTCTGCCCTTAAAGCCAGTCACATGTAGTGACCTTCTATGCCCATTGCTTTACAAGGGAAACTCCTGCTTAGATACCTGGTCATTAGCTTACAGAGAAATTCTGGGAAAAGGCAGTGAGAAAGGCCCTCTCACCAACTCACACAGTGCCACCCTAATAGGAGAAGGGGACCACTCAATGAGAGTTTCTTTACTCATTTTCCCTGAAGCAACCATTGTAGCAGCTGTCACAGAACAAAGAAGTCTCAGGTTTGCTGATGCAGAAAACTTCTAATAGTATTTAAGTAACGTTTTCTAACATCTACCAATTAAAGTTAGAGGAAATCTTAGGGTGAAGTTTTTGCAGGCTACCCATCATAAACATTCTGCAAAGAGCTCCAAACTATTGATTTTTAAAAAAATTTGTAATAATATTCCAAAGTCCAAAATGTGTAGGGTAGACCAGCAGTTTGGAAACCCAAGTAAGAGACAGTTTGTTGAGAGAGTTTCCTGTATATGTAATGTTTTTCAATAAATTTAGGAAGTTTTTAGTCATTATTTCTTTGAATATTTTTTGCTGCTTCTTTCTCTTCCTTCTCTCTCTCTTTTTTTCTTTTGGGACTTCCCCCCTGTTGCTCTGTTCATTTTTATATCCTTTATTCTGCCAGTTATTAAGATTGTAAAATCTCTATCAGTCAATCTTCAAGTTTGTTCTTTCTTCTGCAAATTCAAGTCCAATGTTGAACTCTGCTAAATTTTTTATTTCAGCTATTGTACTTTTCAACTCCAGAATTTACATTTAAAAAATAATTTCTATCTATTGATATTCTCTATCTGATGTGATATTATCATCATACCTTCCTTTAGTTGTTTAATCAAGTTTCCTTTAGTTCTTTGAACTACTTTGAAGACTTTTTTTTTTTTTTTTGAGATGGAGTTTCGCAATCTTTTCCCAAGCTGGAGTACAATGGTGTGATCTCGGCTTACCACAACCTCTGCCTCCTGGGTTCAAGCAATTCTCCTGCTTCAGTCTCCTGAGTAGCTGGGATTACAGGCATGGGCCACCACGCCTGGCTAAATTTTGTATTTTTAATAGAGACGGGGTTTCTTCATGTTGGCCAGACTGTTCTCGAACTCCTGACCTCAGGTGATCCACTCTCCTTGGCCCCCCAAAGTGTTGGGATTACAGGTGTGAGCCATGAAACTTTGTTAAATCTGACATCTGGTAACTTGTGAAGGTGAATTTTATGTGTCAACTTAGGCCACACGGTATCCAAATATTTTGTCAAATATTATTCTAGAAATTTCTGTGAAGTTATATATTGGATGAGACTAATATTTAAATCTGTAGACTGAGTACAGCAGATTACCCATTATGATATGGGTGGGCCTCCTCAAATCAGTGGAAAGCCTTTATAGAAAAAGACTAACCTCCTTGGAAGAAGGAAGACTTTTGCCAGAAGACTGCCTTTGGACTCAAATTACAAGTCTTCCCTGGATTTTCAGCCCTGCCAGCCTACTCTGCACATTTGAACTTGCCAAGCCCCCACAACTGCATGAAGAAATCCTTTAAAATGAACCTCTCTCTCTCTCTCTCTCTCTCTCTCTCTGTCTCTAAACATCCTGTTGATTCTGTTTTCCTGGACAATCCTGACTAATATATCATTCATAGAGGCAGTTTCTGTTTCCTGATTTTTCTTTAGTTTATGGGCCATATTTTCTGTTTCTTTGCATGTCTCATAACGTTTGTTGGAAACTGGACATTTTAGATCACGTACTGAAGCAACTCCGGGTGTGCCCGCCACCTCAGGTGGGCTTGTTATTGTTATTTGCCTGCTTATTTGTGTAGTGATTAGCTGGATTATTTTCCTGAAGCCTATTCTCCCACTACCACACTCATTCTTCCCCACCCCCTGCAGTGGGAAGCCTCTAAGCCTCTAATGTTGCTCCTCACAGGACACAACCTTTGGTATGCCCACAGTCATTGTGGGATGATGGTGGTTTTGGCAGATTTCTTTTTGACTATCTATTCCTGAACTTACTCAGCTGTTAAGCTCTCTAATTGCAGGCTGATTGCTCAGCTGTTTTCAACAATGCTCTGGGCATCCATTGCCCTATAGGCTTAGCTAATCAAATTCAGGCTCCTTTGTAGGGACAGTTACCAAAGTCACTGAAACATGTTCTGACTCCAGGAGGGCTCTTTGTAGTTGTCTGGTGTCTTGTTTCTCTCTGGCAAACCAGCCGGCCTACAGTTTAGCCTATATTTCTGTCTTAGTCAGCTTGGTGTGCTATTACAAAATATTATAAACTAGGTGGCTTATAGACAAAAGAAATTTATTTCTCACGGTTCTGGACACTGAAAGTCCAAGATCAGGATGCCAGCATGGTCAGGTTCTGGTGAAGGCCCTCTTCAGGTTGCAGACTGTTGACTTCTCATTGTATCTTCACATGGTGGAAAGAAGGTGAGAGAGCTCTCTGGGGTCCCTTTTATAAGGTCACTAATTCCATTCATGAGGGCTCCACCCTCATGATCTAATGACCTTCCGAAGGCCCCATCTCCTAATATCATCACATTGGGGGTTATAATTTCAACATATGAATTTTGGGGGAACACAAGCATTCAGTCCATAGCAATCGTCAATGAATCTACTAATTGCTTCCCAATCGCCTTTCACCGCAACCGCCACTGTTTTATTCCCCCTATATTTAGAGGACTCTTAGACTTGAACTTCAGACTCAGTTATAAGTGAGGTCTGTTCCTTTGAGTAGAAAGCTGGAGCTCTCTGTTCTATGCCTGCTTCTGCCCCTGGGTAAAATCTCTGAGCCATGGCTCTGGAGAAAATGGCATGCTTCTCCTGAGTGACGCCTCTACTTTAGGAGCTGAGCACTTGGTAGAATGGTGTGCAGCAGCCCTAGAATTTCTCAGGTTGGCCTTTATTGGCATGGGACTGCTGCCAGTGAACTAGGGCAGTGGTGATTGGGGCCTCAGTATTTGCAGTATGTGCAGTATTCTCAAGGTCGAGCCTGTATCCCATGACTAGGAGAGGCAAGGAAGAAGGGAGTCTTCACTTGTCAGCCATACTCACCTGGAATTTATTATCTTCAGTAGGAAGAAACTGGGGGTAGGATGAGACATGCTAACTTTCTGCTCCAGAAAGTGTGAAAGTTATCAGAATCAAAACAAGTCCCTTGTTAACAAAGCTCCGACAAAAAGAGCCAGAAAAGGCCGTGAACAGAGGGTTCTCACGCACGAATGCCTGATAACAGGAACTATCACAAAAAGCTCTGCAAAAACCACAGCCTTGCACAAAGACCATCACAGCCTTACACAAAAATATAATTCTGCGAGGACATCTGCCCAGCAACTGCTTGTCCAACCTCAGACTGGCACCACCTTTATTATTTGATTCTTATAGCCAAGGACAGTTATCTCAAAACAATTATGTAATCCTCCTTATTTTTCCTTTAAAAACCACTGTCTTCTGTTACCTCCCTGAATACACACATAGTTTTCTATGGCACATATATTCCCATTGCAATTCTATTCCTAAATAAACATCATTTTCGTTAGAGAGTCTCCCTCTCTGTCAATGTAGGTTGACAGAAGTTTGTCCCCTGACTGGGAGCTTTGGGGAGAGGAAGCTGTGTGTTCTTGGCTATAATAGTCTAGAGTAGAGTTTCCATCTTGCTGAGTTGTCCCCTGACTGGGAGCACTGCAGAGAGGAAGCCGTGTGTTCTTGCCTGTAACAGTCTAGAGTAGAGTTTCCATCTTGCTGAGTTGTCCCCTGACTGGGAGCACTGGGGAGAGGAAGCCGTGTGTTCTTGGCTGTAACAGTCTAGAGTAGAGTTTCCATCTTGCTGAGTTGTCCCCTGACTGGGAGCACTGCGGAGAGGAAGCCGTGTGTTCTTGCCTGTAACAGTCTAGAGTAGAGTTTCCATCTTGCTGAGTTGTCCCCTGACTGGGAGCACTGCGGAGAGGAAGCCGTGTGTTCTTGGCTGTAACACTCTAGAGTAGAGTTTCCATCTTGCTGAGTTGGGCGGGGTGCAGGGCATGGATCTTGGTTCCCCTGAGGAGCCATTTCCTGGGAGGTTGCAAGGATGATGGCTGCCCTGAAAGAGCAGAGTCACCTGCAGGGATCCCTGCTGGACCACACAATGCTCGGCACGTTTCTGAGCACTTCTTATACATCTGCCATTTTACCGATGCGTTCACCATTCCAGGCCCAACTTAAATAATAAAGTTGCTAAGGCCCCTCTCCTGGCAGCTTAGATCAGAATCTCTGAGGATAAACTGGACACGGATATATGTGTAAAGATCCACAGATGATGATGTTAAGTCATACTGAGGGCTGATATCGACAGCTATGGCTCCAGACAGTTAATTCCCAATAACTCCTCTGTAAATCAGCTATACCAAGGATATGTCTTGGAGCCGTTTGTGTTCTGCTAAACACATGGCACCAATAAATGAACTATTCTAAGATAAGAGGGTGTGCAGATTGCTCAGAAAAGGCTGTCTAAACCTCTCTTTCAGGTTTCAGGACCCAACACAAACCTTTGCCCCTGGGCCATTCTTTAACCAGAAGAGGCCCGTCCAGTCTGAATACCCTTTATTGATCTCTCGCCTTGTCCAGTGTGAGGCTCTGCTGCCATCTAGGCCTTGGGGTTGACAGAGATACTGGAGCCATTCCACATGTTCTCTTTATTTAACACACATTCCCTTTATTTAACTCCCATCGAATAAAATTTATAGGAGGCCATTGGTTTAGACTGAGCCCCTGCCACTGAGCCCAATAGACCAAACCAAAGTGAAGTCACTCATGCTGAAGGTCCACAATACCAAGCTCAAACTAAGCTGTTTATCTGACTTGCCAGGAAATCAAGAGAGAGAGGTAATAGATCCTCAAACAAGCCAATTTTAGCTGACATGATGAGAAAGTACCCTTTGCTTTAACTTTTACAAGGAAACTAACTTTGAAATGACCAATTCTCTTTTAGCTCTCTCTTCTGCTTCCCGGAGCCCTTTTCCGTTTATAAAGCTGTAAGCCAAAAATAAAATTCTAAGCCCCCAACCAACTGAACAGACCCCTCCTCTTGGATAAGGACGTCCTGAAGTTAACCTGAAAAACTAGTTCAGGCCATCATGGGAAGCGGAGGTTGGACATGCCTCATTATAACGTACTCTCTTTGGAATTCAGGCACAACTGACCAGCATTAACATTAAAACAGAGACCTGAAGACTGACATAGTAGCTCTTTATAGCAATAACATACCAACATAACAGCAGGCCCTGAAAGAAATCAAATTATTTTACCCCAAAATATGTATCTTTGACATATTTTAAAAAGGCCTGGTACAGCTATTTTTTTGTAGGGAAAATCTACATTCTGTTGAGAATCTCCTACCTGGAGATTTGATCTGTATGATAAAAATCTTGGTCTTCATAACCCCTCGTCTTTTTTTTTTTTTTTTGAGATGGTGTCTTGCCCTGTTGCCCAGGCTGGAGTGCAGTGGCGTGATCTTGGCTCACTGAAGCCTCCGCCTCCCGGGTTCAAGTGATTCTCCTGCCTCAGCCTCCCGAGTAGCTGGGATTACAGGCATGCACCACCATGCCCGGCTAATTTTTTGTATCTTTAGTAGAGATGGGGTTTCTCCATGTTGGCCAAGCTGGTCTTGAACCCCTGACCTTGTGACCCGCCCACCCCAGCCTCTCAAAGTGCTGGGATTATAGGAGTGAGCCATACGCCCAGACCATAACCCCTTGTCTTGACCCAGACACTCCTTCCTGTTGGTTCCAGGTCTTTAAACAACTTAACTCTTTCAACCAATTGCCAATCAGAAAATCTTTGAATCCATCTATGACCTGTAAACTACTCCTTCCCCCACTCTTCTCCCCCAACCCCACCTCCCGCCCCACTTTGAGTTTTCCACCTTTCTGGACTAAACCAATGTACATCTTACATGTATCAGTTGGTGTCTTACGTCTTCCTAAAACCAAGTTGTAGCCCAATCACCTTGGGCAAATGTTCTCAGGACTCCCTGGGGCTGTGTCATGGGTTTTATTTCTTATATTTGGCTCAGAATAAATCTTTTCAAATATTTTACAGAGTTTAACTCTTTTCATCAACAAAGCCAACCTCCCCTGCTCAGGTCATGGGAACATTCATTCTATCTTATAGAATGAGGTGTTGCCCATTTTAGAATCGCAAATAGGTTGCAGGGAGCAGCTGATGACTATAATTCTAGGACTTTGGGAGGGTGAGGCGGGAGGATTGCTTGAGGCCAGGACTTTGAAACCAGCTGAGCAACATAGCAAGAACCTGTCTGTACAACAACAACAACAAAATTAGCCAGGTGTGGTGGTGTACACCTATAGTCCCAGCTACTCAGGAGACTGAGGTGGGAGAATTGCTTGAGCCCAAGGAGTTCAAGGCTGCAGTGAGCCATAATTGCACCACTGCACTCCAGCCTGGGCAACAGAGTGAGACCCTGTCTCAATAAAATGAAATAAAATTATAATTGCAATTAATAGCCAATTGAGATCTTCAGACTAATGTGTTGTAATTTTTGACCCTTTCTCATTTCTGGCTAAGCAAATGTGGGCCACAGGATGACACCTCATCCCTGGTCCTCCAAGTTGGGGCTGTTCAATTCCTACCTCTTGAGCTAAACCAAAGAAAAGCTGGGACTCAGGTTTGAGATCCTCATGCTTGGTCTGGTGGCTTCTCCACGCACAACATCTGCCTCTTCCTTTTCCCTCCGGGCTCCTGGAAGAGGGAGTTCCATAGACCAGGGGCCCTTAACCCCATCTGAATTTCACTCATTTTTCAAGTCTCAGGTTTGGACTATCCCTAACATGTCAGTGCTTCTGGCTACAAGCTCTATGGAAGTGATGGGTGGGAGCATCGTAGCAGCAGCAGCTGACACTTATTCAGAACAAGTCATGCCACATACTGTTCTAGGTGCTTAGAGCTCAGGCACTTTGGCTTTAGAATCTGCATAAGAAAACTGTAAGCGTTCATACTTCCCTTATGCACAAGTTCTTACAAGGAGCATAGCAGATATTGATGGGTCCATGAGGAACCTGAAGTCTGACGGGGAGCTGCGCAGCTGGTGCCTTTCTCTAGGATGGGCTCTACCATGGGCACCACTCTATGCTCAGCCTGATTCTCTCCCATCCAGGTTCCTTCCTGGCCGCTTGAGCTTTGACCTGTTATTTTGCACCCATTTTATGTGTTCAGGAAGGGCAGAATTTTGATGAATTGGTCAGCTGCTAGCTATATAAATGGGTGTCATAAATGGGGATTGAGTATGTTTGCAGAGTCTTTATTTCCTCCTTCACCTTTGCATGATACAGGTCTGTCCTTGAAAGACATGCAAACACCATCTGTCCCTGGTGAACATGGGCAAGAACCCTCAGACACTCCATGAGGCCCTGTTATCCTGGGTGGGTGGCTGCTAGGGGCTGTGAAAGCGGTGGGTGATCCCAGGCTGGGGGCTGGATGACTAACACCCTCACATCTCTTCATCTCTTTGACCTGCGTCTATCCATATGTTATTAAGGGTGGGTAGCAATAAAACTTCTTGCCTGGGATGACAGTGATTAAGGAACAGCTTTGCCCCTGCCCAGGCTTCTCTTCCTTCCTGCCATTTTCTTTAGAAGGAGAAAATTGGATGTGCCACCCTTCACCATTCTAACCTTTCTCAAAAGACCCTTCTGAAGAAAATTATCCATGAACAGCCCAGAAGATTAGGACATTTGAATGTGCCCCATGTTGATGAATGCACCTGCTCAGTTGTATTCCACATTTGTGTTTCAACTGTTTCCACTCCTGGTCTGTGTCCCACGTCTTGAGGATTTAGAGAGTAGAAACATACCTTTTACTTTTGTGTAAGGTACATGCTGTGGCATAGAACCTTCATGGTCTTTAGCCAGCAGTGTCGATAGCAAGTGAGAGAAAATAGCTGTGTCACATATGTGAGTCAGGATAGGCTAGGTAATGGTGCTATCGCAAGTGACCCCAAGGTGCCAGAAGCTAAAACATTAAATATTTATTTCTTGTTTATGTTATCTGAGTAAGCTGCATTTCTACTCTGTGTCATCTTAACCTGGGACCCAGCTGGTGGAGAAGACTCTGCATGAAGAATCACTAGTTGTCATGTGGAGTGAAAAGGGAGCACCGCAAACCACAGACTATTCCTGAAAGCTTCTGCTACAAAGGGACACACATCACTGCCGCTCACGTTGCACTGATGGGAGCAAGTCATTTGACCATGTCTGACATCAATGAGGCAGGAGGGTATAATGTTCCCCAGGGAGGGTCAGTGTTTCTCTGGATATATTAATATCTTCTCCCAGACCCTGCATGGATACAAGAGCACACTCCTGGATATTCATCTCAGAACTGGGGAGATGGGACAGTGGCCAGGGATGGCAGTTGGTGGGGGTGAGAGCAACAGGCATTAGAGAGAACTAGGAAACCCAGATCAATTGTCATTCAGCTTCAGCCAAATTTTATATGTTTGCTGAGCCTCAGACTTCTTATCTGAAAAAGAGGGGATTGGATTAGACAAGTGTTAATGTTGATGCCAGCGGGAGCTGATTACAAGTATGTGGGAAAACCCAGATCCATTGGGAGGATAACTCAAGATAGCATAACATAACTGAGAACTCTCAGAAACTCTTCTCCATGCCCTCGCCACATGTGACATAGGGGTCCCTCCCCCTAGACCCTGGAATCTCAATCTGTCTTTATACCTCAGCTTATTCTTCACCCTAGCTTGGTGTCCCCTTTCTTCCTTTTCTGCTTCCTCACAACCTGTTTGTATTCTTCCTCAGAGTTGCCACAGCAAGAAGAATATCTTACAGTTTTCTGCACTCATGTCTTATCTTCCCAAATGCCCATATCCTTCTTGAAGGTTATGTCTACGTCTTTGACGTCTTCTCTTGAGCCTCCTGGCCTATTCTTCCCCACCTCTTACCGTACCTTTCACAGAGCTGAACTCAGTTGTAATTATTCAAGCACCAGCTACTGTTTGCATACATTATCTTGTTTAGTTTTCATGACATTGCTGTTAAAATATATTATGTTCCTCATTTACCCTGTAAGTTTTCTGTCAACCCAGTGAAATGTCAAATGTTTAGTACACACAATAAGGGACCAATAAGCAGCAGCTACTATGATTTTTGTTACTATTACTGATGAGGAAACAGATTTGCAAAGGCCGAGCAATATGCACTTGTTGCACAGTTAGTACGTGGGCACTGAGTTTGAATCCATCAGAGTAGTCATCAGAGCTAATCACTAAATGTTTATTTCTTTCCCCTCCTGAATGTATGTTGGATTGCACTTCCCCACCCTCTGTGTGTCGCAAAATGACTTTGACACTAGCTCTGGCAAGAAGTGACATTTGCCACTTTTTAGGGGAAGCTTTAGAAGCCACTTTAGGAGGTTCACCTCATCCTCTTTCTACTGCAGTTGTGAAAATGAACTCATGTGGTAAGGTAAAGCTCTACCAGTCAGAGGTGCTGAGTCATAAGGATGAGCAGGGTGCTTCTGTCAATGCCAATCAGACATGGAGCGTGGGGGAGACATTGTTAGGCCACTGGAACTTAGGGTGTGGAGGTTTCTACGGCAACATAATCTAATCCATGTGACTGATACACCAAGACATGATTGTACAATTATTGACATGTTCTTTTGGAAATCTGTGGCTATTAACTCCCGTCTCATCCACCAATCAGAGCTGATGGATGCGTTCTTTTTTATTTCTGTCAATACTGACCTTTTCATTAACAAAACCCTTTAACAATCAGGTAGTTGTTGTCAACAGGGAGGTGCAATCCCCTGGGAAGTGTTTTGGTGATTTATGGAGGTGTTTTAGCATGATTACAATTATTATTAGTGGCAGTGGTGACTCATGCAATTTCATGGGCAGGAAATAGGGATGCTAGACATCTTGTAACTTTGGGGATGGTCCTGAACAACAAAAGATTGTCCCAATCTTTCACAGACTGTAGAATGTCTAGGTGGACAAAAGTTATAATGATTGGGGCTTAGAACCTAAATCAGTCTTACATACGAATGCAAAGCATCTGGCAACATAGCTTTTGGGCTGAATTTTCCAAGAATGCAGCTACGCATATGTACAGAGAGGATTGACTTTTTTTTATTTTACTTTTTTTACTTTTTTAATTTTTTTGCTCTTGTTTGCTCTGCACAAGATGCCAGCAGAAGGTGCATAATGCAGCTGCAGATGCAGTCACCTGGCTCGGTGAGGGGTGTGCCCCAGACTGTGGTCAGGGGGCTGAACCGAGAACTGACGCCCTCTGCTTCCAGGGTCCTGGGCCATCCCTGTGTGTCTCTGGTGTTTCCACCTCATGGAGCACTGCTATATGCTGGCCTGGATCAGTCTTACCTGGAGGTAGAAGAAGGCAGCCCCTCCCCACAGGAAACCCTGAAATTGGAAGTCCACAGTGACAGCTGAGGCATCACATGAGAAAGTCTCTCAGAGTACAATGGCTTGATATAGGTAGACATTGTGGAAAGACTAAATCAAGCTAATTAATATATCCATTACCTCATACACTTATTCTTTGTGGTGAGAACATTGGAAATCTACTTTTAGCAATTTTATTTTTTTTTCTTTTTTTTTGAGATGGAGTCTCACTCTGTCGCCCAGGCTGGAGTGCAGGGGCGCGATCTCAGCTCACTGCAAGCTCCGCCTCCCGGGTTCATGCCAGTCTCCTGCCTCAGCCTCCCGAGTAGCTGGGACAACAGGTGCCTGCCACCAGGCCCAGCTAATTTTTTGTATTGTTAGTAGAGATGGGGTTTCACCATGTTAGCCACGACGGTCTCGATCTCCTGACCTCGTGATCTGCCTGCCTTGGCCTCCCAAAATGCTGGGATTACAGGCATCAGCCACCACACCTGGCCGAATTACAATTATTTATTTAAAATTAAAGACTTTTTTTTCTTTCTTTTTTTTGAGACTGGACCTCACTCTGTTGCCCAGCCTGGCCTCAAACTCCTGAGCTCAAGGGATCCTCCCACTTCAGCCTCCTGAGTAGCTGGAACTACAGGCACATGCCACTGTACCTGGACAAAGACTAATTTGTTTTTAGAGCAGTTTTAGGCTCATGAAAAATTTGAGAGGAAGGTATAGAAGTTTCCCATGTTCCCCGACACAGGCATCGCATTCACTACAGCTGATGAACTTCCATGTGTACATCATTTTCACCCAAAGTCCGCAGTTCACCTGAGGGTTCACCCTGGTTTGAACAAATGTACAAGGATCTGTATCTACCATGATAGTTTTATACCTTATGTCTCTGAGTCCTTGTTAAACTGTCAGCCCTTTAAAGTTGCGGGCTGTGCGTTCTTATTCCTGGGGCTCCCTACGTGAGTTCTGAATGAGGAGTGACATCTCAGAACGTGTGCATCCCCTCTCCCCGAGGAGCTGGAACTGTAAAGGTTGTGGGGATAATTGAGACCACCACTTTATTGTATAAATGAAGAGTCTGAGGTCCAGAGTGGACCAGTGGTAGTTCCAAGGCTGGACAGTGAAGCAGAGCCTGAGCCCGCGGGGAGAATGCCTTTCTTCAAGTTTTCCAGCATGCCTATAAATGACTAGAGAGTGGTCCACAGCAAGCCACGGAGTGGCATCCAGGGTGTGGGGCCCGGAGTTTGGCGTGGTGGAGAACAGCCAGGTCTTCCTTAGACCATCCCTTTGTGAGAGAGATGCAGGACTGTCCTAATTGCCCTTAGTAAAGGGCTGGGGGTGGGCAGGAGTCACTTCTGCCTGCAGGCATTATAAAGGGGCGTTGCCAGAGACTGGGCTCACTGCCACCAGGCAGAGTTAGGCAGGCTTTCTGGTGTCATTGCTGCCCCTCACTCAGCGCTGCCCAGAACCCCTGGCCCCTTCTCCACTCCACTGCTTGACCTTTGAATGCTGATGTGGTGCTTTTCCTTGTCCTGCCCTGGGAAGAGCACATCTTTGAGAAGTTGCCAAGTGGAGATTCAAGTCAGTGGCAAGAAGGAGGGACAGCACCCGGGACCTGTGAATCTCTCCCCACTGGCTTTGCCCAGAGAGAGAAATAAAACCAGTGTTCCACATCTCCTGCCCCGACCCAGGGAGAGACTGATTCTGGTTCTGGGTCTCTCTCCACCCAGCCACAAGAGCCATTGCTTGGCACGGTGCTGAGAATGGACAAGCCTTCCCTCTCCATCTGTTCCCTGCAGGACCGTGGAGTCTCCCTTCCACCTGTCCTCTCTCTCTTTCTGAGAAGGAGGAAGTAGAGCTGTGTATCACAGCTCATAGCACTTAGAGTTTATCACTGGTGATGATTCTGTAATTCCTGAGGCCCTCCACATGCTACTTCATGCCATTTCACTAATCTTAGTAAACCTTCAATTATCCTCTAAATATCTGCATGTGGATTTAACAAATTACAATTCCCCAAATGTATACACACCTCTAAATATTTAATTAGAATCCAAAGCCAAATGCATTAGTTTCTACTTGAATAGTTTAAGCCCCTGTGCACACAGGGAAGACACACACAGTTTTACATGATTCCAAAGCCCAGCCTGCATCGATGTTACCTGGTGTAATGCCTACGTGTCATAGCTGAATTTCTACGCTTCCCTAACTCTGCTTACCTTTAAGAAATAAGATGCTTGCAGTGAAAATTTACCTTTGTAACCAGACCAGCTGAGATTGGCCAGTCACCTTTGTATAAAGAGAAGTCATGTTCAGTTCACACTTTACTCTTTCTCTATTGCAATCATATGTTACCAATTAAAATTTGTGCTGACCCTGGCACAGTGGTGCGAGCATATGGTCCCTTGTCAGGTTCATGACTATGCCAGATGTTATGCTTGGGGTCAGGTTCCACTCATGCTGAGGTCCGAAGGGAGAGGGTGGATGAACAGATAGTGGAACGAACACTCAGGACCGTAGGCAGGTGAAAGGTAATTGTATTCAGCAGCTCTCTCATCAGCAGCTTAGTCACACTAGCTCTCTCACACTGTTCGCCCTGTCTCGGCTGCTTAATCCAGCAGATCCCACACACAGCTGCATGGCCGGCTCTCCCTTCAGGGTCAGCAGCTTAACTCTTTCTCTGAGCTCGAGCGAACTAGGCTGTGCCCTGGCTCTGCCCGTCCGTCTGCAAAGATGAACCACTCTGACTCTCTTTCTTGGGGCACGAGTGCGAGCGAGCTTGTACAGTGTCAGCAGGGCAATGATACCTGTTACAGACAATAGTGGCTGAGAGCCAAATGATGGCCTTCCTGTGTGATGGGTGCATACCTGTGATAACAAGTGGAGTTATACACCTGCACTGTAAACTGGCTGAGTCACTCTGGATGTTTACCTCGGCCTATCCTTGACCAAAGCACATCCGTTACCTTACACTTCTCTTGTCTTCCTGTTAGCCCCACTTTTTCTTAGAGTTTGCCCCTGTCAGGTCTCAGGAATTTTACTCCCTTTACTCTTTATAATTCTGTAAATCTTATGGATCTTTTAAAGTAGAAACAGCACCCTCCAGCCGTGGCCCTGGGGTCTGGGTGACTGAGCACTGAGTTCATGTTGGACCCTGACATAGGTGTGTGGTTCCAGGTAGTTTGTGGCTACCCCTTTGCTCCCTTTTCGTAAATAATCTCCACCAGACACTTCAATAAGATTTTAGTTTTTCATAGTGTTTTTTGTTGTTGTTTATTATAACGCATTGTTTCTCCCTCATTTGGCATCTCACTAGGTCAGCATGGTGTAGCTCAAAGCCTGATCTTTATGATGTGGAGAACTGATCTTCTAGCAGTGTTAAGTGCCCTGGAACTCTCCTGAGTATTCTGTAATAATCAGTTGGGGCCTTGGAAGATCCGATTCCCAGGCGGGGTGGGGATTTCAAAGAGAAACAGAGCTGGACACTAGTTAAGTTGTAAGAACATATTTGTTTGTTTGTTTGTTTAGTATAGAGATGGGGATGGGAAGTGTGTATTGCCATGTTTCCTGGGCTCATCTTGAACTCTTAGGCCAAGTGATCTTCCCACCTTAGCCCCCTGAGTATCTGGGACCATCTGCTCACACGGCTGTACAAGGGTCAGCACAAATTTTAACTAGTAACATATGATTGCAACAGGGAACGAGTAAAGTGTGAGCTGAACATGACTTCTCTTTGTACAAGTGTGACTGGCCATTTAAAAGGGAGAATACAGGACTAGGGAGGGGGAGTGAGCAGGGGTTCCATAGAGTAGAGAAGTGAAAAATTACAAAAAGAAGTAAGAAGGAGTTAGTCCATGTGAAACCCACCTGGGTTTGTTAACTGGTGCTTATTGAAGTTAGGCTCCTAGCTTCCCACTAGAAGCTGGGAGACAGGGTCAGCTAGAACACACAGTAAATTATTTTGGCAGCCTTAGCTTTTTTTCAGACAGGACTTTAAGGAAGCCTGGGGTTATCCTAGGGTTGTAGACTTGAGCTCTTAGAAATGATGTAACTGTTTTGTTCAAGTCTTTATGGGTCAAGGTTGAGGGCTCGTTGAGAAGAGGGCTCAGAAAAGCCTGGCTAGTTTGGCTGGGTAGAGAATCTTTGTCAGGAGTGTTGAGTCTGGCTAGTAGTGTCTCCTTTTATAAGGACTTGGCTTATTCATCACTGTTGAACATACTCCTAAACCCTTGTACTCTTCACATTCTATTTTTTTTCTGGAGTTTCTTGTTCTTTTTCTTTTAGACAAGGTCTCACTCTGTCACACAGGCTGGAATTCAGTGGTGTGATTATGGCTCACTACAGCCTCGTCTTCCTGGACTCAAGCAATCCTCCCACCTCAGCCTCCTCAGTAGCTGGGGCTACAGGCACATGCCACCATGCCTAGCTAATTTTATTATTATTTTTATTTTTTGTATAGATGAGGTCTTGCCCTGTTGCCCATCTGGGCTCAAGTGATCCTCCTGCCTTGGCCTCCCAAAGTGCTGAGATTACAAAAATAGCCACTCTTCCTGTCCTCACATTCTTGTTTTATCAGCTATTATTTGGTACATTTAGCATTAGCTCCTAATATTATTACTCCTTCCTTTTACTTACACAGAAAAAGTTGCATACTTTATAAACAGACACCAGTATTAGTAACAAAACGTCCATTTTGTATTAATACTTCCTGAATTAGCTTCCTGTGGCTGCTATAATAAATTACCATACAAGCTATTGGTAGCTTGAAGCAACATACATTTATTCTTTCACAGCCCTGGAGGTCAGCAGTCTGAAATCTGCTTCACTGGGCTGAAATCCAAGTGTCAGCAGGGCCACACTTTCTCTGGATGCTCTTGGGAAGAATCCATCCCTTGCCTCTTCCAGCCTCTGGTGGTTGCTGGCGTTCCTTGCTTTGCGGCCACATCACTCTAATCTCAGTCTCTGTGGTTACACTGCCTTCTCCTCATCGTGTATCTCAAATCTCCCCCCGGTTCTTTGTTATAAGAATACATGCTGGGGGGAGGGGGGAGGGATAGCATTAGCAGATATACCTAATGTTAATGACGAGTTAATGGGTGCAGCACACCAACATGGCACATGTATACATATATAACAAACCTGCACGTTGTGCACATGTACCCTAAAACTTAAAGTATAATACTAAAAAAAAAGAACAACAACAACAAAAAAGAATCCATGCGATGGCATTTAGGTTCCATCAACATGATCCAGAATAATCTCCCCAACATAAAATTCTTAACTTAATCATGCTGTAAAGCCTTTGCCATATAAAGTACCATTCACAAGTTCCAGGGATTAGAAACTGGTATGTTTGGAGGGTTATTCAGGCTACCATATTTCCCTACTTGATAAAATCAATAAAAATAAAACATATTTAATTATATTCACCCCTTGCCCAAGTTGGCTTTAAGTATTTTAATATTACCTTTTTTTTATTTTAAGCTCATTATTAACATGCTATCTTTCAAAGTCTTGCTAAAAGAAAATTTTTGATATTCAGATTGCCACATCATGGCCAGTGGGCACTGTAGATCGGTTCCTTTGTCCTTTCTATGTTGTTCCTGACATTTGGATTGAAAAATCTCTCCTTTCCAGGACAACAGGTGATTTCAGAGCCTTTGTGAATTTTCTTGCCTCAACCCATGGACTTAGCTACTGATATGATTCGGCTCTTGACTCTGCCCACACTGAAATCTCATCTTGAATTGTAATCTCTACGTGTCAGAGGTGGGGCCTGGTGGGAAATGATTAGATTGTGGGGGTGGTTTCCCCCATGCTGCTCTCCTGATAGCAAGTGAGTTCCCATGAGAGCTGATGGTTTCTCCCCTCATTTTTCACTCTCTGCTGCTACCATGTAGGACATGCCTTGCTTCCCCTTTGTCTTCCATCATGATTGTAAGTTTCCTGAGGCTTCCCCAGCAATGTGAAACTGTGAGTCAATTAAACCTCTTTTCTTTCTAAATTACCAGTCTCAAGTGGTCTTTACAGCAGTGTGAAAACAGACTAATACAGAAATTGGTACCAGGACAGTGGGGCACTGCTGTACAGATACCTGAAAATGTGGGAGCAACTTTGGAACTGGGTAATGGGCAGAGGTTGGAACAGTGTAGAGGACTCAGAAGACAAGAAGATATAAAAAGTTTGGAACTCCCTAGAAACTTGTTGAATGGCTGTGACCAAAATGCTGAAAGTGATATGCACAATGAAGACCAGGATGAGGAAGTTTTACATGGAGATGAGGAACTTATTGGGAACTGGAGTAAAGGTCACTCTTGCTATACTTCAGCAAAGAGACTGGTGGCATTTTGCCCCTGCCCTAGGGATCTGCGGAACTTTGAATCTGAGAGAGATGATTTAGGGTATCCGCCAGAACAAATTTCTAAGCAGCAAAAATGTTCAATATGTAACCTGGCTCTTTCTCAAAGTGTATGCTTATATGCATTCACAAAGAGATTGGTCTGAAATGGAAACTTATGTTTCAAAGGGAAGCAAAGCGTAAAGATATGGAAAATTTGCAGCCCTCATGGAGAAACTCTCCTAGGGCAGTGTGGAAGGGAATGTGGGGTCGGAGCACCCACACAGAGTTCCTACTGTGGCACTGCCTAGTGGAGCTGTGACGAGAGGGCCACCATCCTCCAGAACCTAGAATGGTAGATCCGCTGATAGCTTGCACCTTGCTCCTGGAAAAGGTGCAGCACTCAACACCAGCTGTGAAAGCAGTCACAGGAGCTGTACCGTGCAGAGCCACAGAGCCTGCTGAATGCCTTGAGAGCCCACCCCTTGCATCAGGGTTCCCTAGATGCTTGATTTGGAGGGTCTGAATTGATCTTATCCTCCAAACCCAGCCCTTGCAATCTCACAAATCCACCTTGTATTGTCCATTTTTACACTATTATAAAGAAATACCTGAGATTGGTAATTTAGAAAGGAAGGAGGTTTAATTACTCACAGTTCCACATGGCTGGGGAGGCCTCAGGAAACTTACAATCATGGCAGAAGGTGAAGTGTCATGTCTTACATGGTGGCATGAGAGAGCGAGAAATGAAAGTGCCACACACTTTCAAACAACCAGATCTCATGAGAACTCACTCACTACTATGAGAACAGCAAGAGGGAAGTACCCACTCCCCCCACCACATGATTCAATTACCTCCCACCAGGCCCCTCCCCTGACACATGAAGATTACAATTTGTGATGAGATTTTGGTGGGGATACAGAACCAAACCATATCATTCTGCCCCTGCCCCTCCAAATTTCATGTTCTTCTCATGCGTCAAAGCACAATCAGGCCTTTCCAACAGTCTCCCAAAGTCTTAACTTATTCCAGCATTAACTCAAAAGTCTAAGTCCAAAGTCTCATCTGAGACAAGGCAAGTCCCTTCCACCTATGACCCAGTAAAATCAAAAGCAAATTAGTTACTTCCAAGATACAATGGGAGTACAAGCATTGGGTAAATATTCCTGTTCTAAATGGGAGATATTGGCCAAAACAAAGGGGCTACAGGCCCCACGGAAGTCTAAAACCCAGCAGAGTAGTCATTATATCTTAAAGCTCCAAAATGATCTCCTTTGACTTCACATCTCACATCCAGGGCCCACTGAAGCAAGGGGTGGGCTCCCAAGGCATTGGGCAGATCTGCCTCTGTGGCTCCACAGGGTACAGCCCCCATGGCTGCTTTCATGTGCTGGTGTTGAGTGCCTGTGGCTTTTCCAGGTTCATGGTGCAAGCTGTCAGTGGATTGACCATGGGTTCTGCAGGATGGTGCACCCCTTCCCACAGCTCCACTAGGCATGCCCTAGTGGGGACTCTGTAAGAAGGCTCCAACTCCACATTTTCCCTTTGCACTGCCCTAGTGGAGGTTCTCCATGAGGGTTTTACCCCTGCAGCAGACTTCTCTCTGGACATCTAGGCATTTCCATACATCCTGTGAAATGTAGGTGAAGATC